>NT_167247.2:3183134-3324087 GCF_000001405.40 Homo sapiens | reverse complement strand
GCTAGGCCTCGGGGCAGAGTTGACTCTGGACCTTGCTCCTCCCCCAGCCCAGCTAAGCTGGGAAACCACGTGACAGCCAAGAAGTGCAACTGGCCTCAGGCCCAGAGTTGTGGGGGCACCCCGGACACCTGGGTGTCCATGGGAAACTCTGAATCTTGGCCCAGAAATAACCCTGTCCTTCCCCGTTAACTCCTCTCATTCCAGTGCCTGAGCACCTCCCCCTACCAGGTATATCTGTATCAGGGTATAGGTGCACACAAGCTCATGTATACCTGGGCGTACAAGGGCCCAACATGGCCCACGAGTACAGGATATTTAAAGGCCCTCACAAAACAATGACAGGCTTCTAAGACACTTGTCTCTTACTTTCATTCCAACACAAATTGAACTATACTAGGCTTTTGCTTTTTTAGGCCCTAACAGAAATTCCGTGGTTTAGGAGATTAGGTACACCCTCACCACTCCACAGGGAGAATGGCCTGAACGTCAGAGTGAACCCCTGACCCCTTTCCTCTCTGAATGAGGCAAAGCTCAGACTTCACCTCTACCCCTAAACAAGGCACCCAAACACACGTCACAGTAAATAAAGGACATCCAGAAAATATCACAGGCAGAGGTACTTTATTTGGCAATTTTAACATGACACGTAGAGAAAAGAACCCTGCCCTCCTTCACCAGCCTCCCCAGAAATCCCACCTTCCTATTTCAAGACAGAGTAATAACAGCACCATTTTACACGAAAGGGAACAGCCACAGCCTTGGCACCATTTCTGGTTCCACTTTCCATGGAAGGGCAGAGAAGCATTGCTCAAACCCCACCACTGGGTCAGAAACCAGGCAAACAGCAGCAGTCACATCTGACCTTTTGCACACACGAGAGCCCGACACTCATCCTGGCTCCCAAGCCTTCCCAAGGTGACCCTGTCTCAGCCACCATCATGCAGCTCTTCTAGTCCCCTCCCGGCCCACTCTGAGGAGCTGAGCAATGATGAGCAGAATCTTCATGTCTCTGGCAGGCGGAGGAGGGTTCCTGAAGTGGTAGAGATGCTGTGCAGGAGAAAGACAAGGCTGGAGCCAGACGCCTAGGCTCAAGCTGTGAGGAGAACTTAGAACTTGGGAAGGGGTGCTCCCGGGTTCCAGAGAAGAATGAGAGCCACTGGCCTTCACTAGGAAACTAAGCATGAGCTGGGAGGAAATCCCACTTTGGGTCATTGCTCCATAATCTGCCAGAGGCCAGGGAAAGACTCACCAGTCCACTAGCTGGGCCCCAATGAGGTCGTGCACATGGTAGGTGAGGCCAAGCCGCACCACGACAGGCGCCCGCCGGCCCAGGAGCTCTGATAGGAGCAGTTCCCGGTACTTTGCCTTCCGGACCATGCTAAGGACAGCCTGGCGCCCTAGAGGAGAAGTGGCACAGGAAAGGGGAAAGGTGAATAAGGCCTAGAGGCCTGAGGAGCCACCAAAAGGTGAGGGGCTGCAGGCTTGAGCTGCAGATGGGATACCTTTAACAAAGTACTTGATGAATCTCCCAGCTCCAGGCACAGCTAGCCACCAGCTCCCAGCATCTCGGACGGTGAGGACTCCAGCATTCACCAGATGCCTGAGGGCAGTGGGAAGCCAGCAGAGATGAGGGCTGGGCTCTGAGAACCATCTCTCCTCCTCATCCATTAATGTTTACACAAGTCTCCAGAAACACGGGCAACCATGCAAGAGAGACTGGATAACAAAATCCCAGCCTGGGGTGGTTCTGTGCTCGCACCAACTGCCTCTGTTGGTGCAGTTGCTTGTTCCAGGCCCCCTACCTGGACTGCCCTCCCTCCACTTTTTCTTTTCCTGCTACTATTACTGGTTCAGTTAAATAGCTTCTCTTCCCTGACCACATGTCCTGACACACATTCGGTCTTAGGACCGAGGAGAGGAATCAGAGTCTTCTGCGCTCCTGCCACTGCCTAGGCAGACTGCGCCATGGCTCCCACCACATCTCTCTGAGAGTGTGTCTGCCCATGTGAGATCAGTGCTATAGTTTTTCAAATGCTTTCACATATTCCATGGGTTACAAAGTAGGAGGCCTGAGCCAGATACAGCCTCTCAAAATTAGATTTTTATTTAGCTCCTGCCCAGTTGTTTTTTAGCTTTGGGTTTTTTTTGTTTTAATGTGAATGTTTAGGGGTATCCCAGCTCCTACCATTCTCTATCCTCTTAGTCCCAGTATGATTAACATCAAGCTTTTACACTTCCTGCCAGGCCCCTGTGTGCTTTTGATAAGCCACCAAGAACTGAATTCTATTTCAGGGCTCTTTCTAAGGCCCAGGTAAGATAGGCCTCCTCTCTTGTGGGGAGGAATACAAACTTGGGTCATTTTATTAAAAAGAAGAGTCAGCTTTTTGGCAGCTTTTCTGGCAGGTTCACCAAAAAAACAGGAGGACAGGCTGGATGGAACTGGAGGGAGGCAGGGAAGCACCAGATGCCTGACTTTGGTTGGTTCCACAAGTCTCACGTGATTTCTGAGTCCCTGAAGCCAAAGGTCTGTGTCATTTGGTCCTGCTGGAAACTAAGGTCCCCACAGGCTGGAAGTACTGAAGCTAGAAATTTCTGCACTGCCCCAGCATACGGTCGGCCATCACAGGCCTTGAGGACCTACAAGCAGAGATGAGAGACATGGTCCATCCCCACCCTCACTCTCTACCAACCTCCACCCCCAGGACAGCATTTCTCTTCCTGTCTTACCTCTTGCTCAGATCCTTCCACCTCTCATACCCTTCTTCTTCCTCCTCCTCTTCATCCTCCTCCCCCTCTTCCTCCCCCCCTCCTCCTCCCCCTCCTTCCTTCCTCCTCCTCCCCCTCCTCTCCCCCCCTCTTTACCCTCTCACTCCTCCCTCTTTCCCTCCTGTCTCTCTCCCTCATATTACTATTTACCAGGGCCCTGTGCCCTCTCCATGGGATGTGGGGGCAGGGAAATTCTTTCTTTTGTTTTTATTTCTGTTTCCCAACTTCCCTGTCTCCCCCAACCTGTGCCCTCCCCCCAGCACCCCTGACGCACACAGTCACATACTCTGGTCCTGTAGTCCTCAGTGAAGATAATTCCATGGGCATCCAAGTCGAAGCCCAGCTGGACGATTCTGATCTCCCCCTGCTCTTGAAGCTCCTTCTGTCTCCACAGAGAAGAGAGTGAAAAGAGGCGTATCAGGGTAAGATGCTCTGCTATACTCTGGGTGCTCTCAGGCAGGGAGATTTTGTTTGCCAATATGGGGGCATTTTCTCTTAGTAAAGGAAAAACTGTGTGAGAAAATAATCAAGCAAATGACCAAGCAGCCTTTTCCAACTAGCTACCCACATTCTCATCCACCTGCCTTATATATGGTCTATCAAAGAGTCAATATAATTTCTAAGACCAGGCACTAAGATAAAATAGTGATTAAGATGCAGGCTGTGGCTTCAAAACATTAACAGTCTAAATTCTGGGTAGGGTAAGGTGGGGAGGAGTATGGGATTCAATGTTTAAAACAAATAAAAATAAACCAGGACTTCTGTTTACGAGAATACAGCAAGAACTAATCCACCTGTTGAAAATTAACTAAAATCCTGGATAAAAATGTTATTTTAAAATTGTTTAAGACCAGGTACAGTGGCTCATGCCTGTAATTCAGCATTTTGGGAGGCTGAGGTAGCAGGATCAATTGAGGACAGGAGTTCGAGACCAGTCTGGGCAACACAGTGAGACCCCCCCACCCGCCACATCTCTACAAAAAATGTAAAAACAGCCAGGCGTGGGGGCAGACACCTATGGTCCTAGCTACTTGGGAGACTAAGGCAAGAGGATCACTTGACCCAGGAGTTTGAGGCTGCAGTAAGATATGATTGCAACTGGGCAACACAGTGAGACCCCATCTCTTAAAAAAAATTGTTTAGACACTAAAGAGCTCACAGGATAACAGGAATTACCACTAATATAACATCTAAGTAGGCCGGGCGAGATGGCTCAAGCCTGTAATCCCGGCACTTTGGGAGGCTGACGTGGGTGGATCACCTGAGGTCAGGAGTTCAATATCAGCCTGACCAATATGGTAAAACCCCGTCTCTACTAAAACTACAAAAATTAGCCGGGCGTGGTGATGTGTGCCTGTAGTCCCAGCTACTCAGGAGGCTGACACAGGAGAACTGCTTGAACCCAGAAAGTTGCTATGAGCCGAGATCATGCCACTGCGCTCCAGCCTGGGTGACAGAGTGAGACTCTAACTCAAAAAATAAAAATAAAAATAACTGGGGCCGGGCACGGTGGCTCATGCCTGTAATCCCAGCACTTTGGGACGCTAAGGGTGGATCACTTGAGGTCAGAAGTTCAAGTTCAAGACCAGCCTGGCCAACATGATGAAACCCGGTCTCCATTAAAAATACAAAAATAGGCCAGATGCGGTGGCTCATGCCTGTAATCCCAGCACTTTGGCAGGCTGAGACGGGTGGATCACGAGGTCCGGAGATCAAGACCATCCTGGCTAACACGGTGAAACCCCATCTCTACTAAAAATACAAAAAAAAAAACAATTAGCCAGGCATAGTGGCGGGCACCTGTAGTCCCAGCTACTCGGGAGGCTGAGGCTGGAGAATGGGTGAACCCAGGAGGCAGAGCTTGCAGTAAGCCAAGATCATGCCACTGAACTCCAGCCTGGGTGACAGAGCGAGACTCCGTCTCAAAAAAAAAAAAAAAAAAAAAATTAGCTGGGCGTGGTGTCAGGTGCCTGTAATGCCAGCTACTTGGGAGGCTGAGGCAGGAGAATCACTTGAACTCAGGAGGCAGAGGTTGCAGTGAGCCAAGATCATACCACTGCACTCCAGCTTGGTGACAGGGTAAGACACTGTCTCAAAAAAAAAAAAGTAATTGGAACATGGAGGGCATTTATTAATCTAGGCAAATCTGCCCAGAACATTTTCAAAAGTAACTGGGCGCATAAGGAAACAAAACTCAAAGAGAGAATAAAAACAAACCCCAAAAGACAAGTAATAGTGGAATTATCCTTTCCACGGTCTCCCTCTGATGCCGAGCCGAAGCTGGACTGTACTGCTGCCATCTCAGCTCACTGCAACCTCCCTGCCTGACTCTCCTGCCTCAGCCTGCCGAGTGCCTGCGATTGCAGGCGCGCGCCGCCACGCCTGACTGGTTTTCGTATTTTGTTAGTGGAGACGGGGTTTCGCTGTGTTGGCCGGGCTGGTCTCCAGCTCCTAACCGCGAGTGATCCGCCAGCCTCGGCCTCCGGAGGTGCCGCGATTGCAGACGGTGTCTGGTTCACTCAGTGCTCAATGGTGCCCAGGCTGGAGTGCAGTGGCGGGATCTCGGCTTGCTACAACCTCCACCTCCCAGCCGCCTGCCTTGGCCTCCCAAAGTGCCCAGAGTGCAGCCTCTGCCCGGCCGCCACCCCGTCTGGGAAGTGAGGGGCGTCTCTGCCTGGCCGCCCATTGTCTGGGATGTGAGGAGCCCCTCTGCCTGGCTGCCCAGTCTGGAAAGTGAGGAGTGTCTCTGCCCGGCCGCCATCCCATCTAGGAAGTGAGGAGCGTCTCTGCCCGGCCGCTCATCGTCTGAGATGTGGGGAGCGCCTTTGCCCCGCCGCCCCGTCTGGGATGTGAGGAGCGCCTCTGCCCGGCCGCGACCCCGTCTGGGAGGTGAGGAGGGTCTCTGCCCAGCCTCCCCGTCTGAGAAGGGAGGAGACCCTCCGCCCGGCAGCCGCCCCGTCTGAGAAGTGAGGAGCATCTCCGCCCGGCAGCCGCCCCCTCCAGGAGGGAGGTGGGGGGGTCAGCCACCTGCCCGGCCAGCCACCCCGTCCGGGAGGTGAGGGGCGCCCCTGCCCAGCCACCCCTACTGGGAAGTGAGGAGCCCCTCTGCCCGGCCAGCCGCCCTGTCCGGGAGGGAGGTGGGGGGGTCAGCCCCCCACGCAGCCAGCCGCCCCGTCCGGGAGGGAGGTGGGGGGTCAGCCCCCCACCCGGCCAGCCGCCCCGTCTGGGAGGGAGGTGGTGGGGTCAGCCCCCCCCGCCCGGCCAGCCGCCTCGTCCGGGAGGTGAGGGGCGCCTCTGCCCGGCCGCCCCTACTGGGAAGTGAGGAGCCCCTCTGCCCGGCCAGCCGCCCCGTCCGGGAGGGAGGTGGGGGGGTCAGCCCCCCGCCCGGCCAGCCGCCCTGTCCGGGAGGTGAGGGGCGCCTCTGCCCGGCCGCCCCTGCTGGGAAGTGAGGAGCCCCTCTGCCCGGCCACCACCCCATCTGGGAGGTGTGCCCAACAGCTCATTGAGAACGGGCCACGATGACAATGGTGGTTTTGTGGACTAGAAAGCGGGAAAAGGTGGGGAAAAGATTGAGAAATCGGATGGTTGCCGTGTCTGTGTGGAAAGAGGTAGACATGGGAGACTTTTCAAAAAAAAAAAAAATAGTGGAATTATCAAAAAGACAATTAAAAAAAAAAAAAAACAGCACTTTGGGAGGCCGAGGCAGGCAGATCATCTGAGTCAGGAGTTTGAGACCAGCCTGGCCAACAGGGTGAAACCCCATCCCTATAAAAATACAAAATTAGGCCGGGTGCGGTGGATCATGCCTGTAATCCCAGCACTTTGGGAGGCCGAGGAGGGCAGATCACGAGGTCAGGAGATCAAGACCATTATGGCCAACATGATGAAACCCCCATCTCTACTAAAAATACCAAAATTAGCTGGGCATGGTGGCGCGTGCCTGTAGTCTCAGCTAATCAGGACAGTGAGGCAGGAGAATTGCTTGAACCCAGGAGGCAGAGGTTGCAGTGAGTTGAGATCACACCACTGCACTCCAGCCTGGGCAACAGAGCGACACTCCACCTCAAAAAAAAAAAAAAAAAAGGGAAAACTAAGGCAACAATGACCACAGCAGTCACCTCCCAGGGACATTCTGATCAGAGACATTTTGATCAGAGAGGGATATATGTGGGATACTGGTCATATTCTATAGTTTGACCTAGGGAGTGGCTAGATAGGTATCTGCTTTATAAACATCATTTAAATTATATATGTTTATATTTTCATTCTGCAACTTTTAAAGGTTTTTAAAAACAAAAGCTAACACCAATACATTAAAATCAACAAATACTCCTTAAGGAGTGGTTCCATCTGGCATGCTTCCTCACGGGAGACCTAGTCAGGGAGACTAGCTCACCTCAAGTGAGTGCTAGACTGCCTTCCTTTTCTTTCCTCTTTTCTTGAAAGATCACTATTAACCTTCTACCTGCTAAATCCAATGGACAGATTTCAGTTCTGGGTTTTTTTGTTGTTGTTTTCATTTTTTTAGAGACAGGGTCTCCCTCTGTTACCCAGCCTGGAGTGCAGTCGTGCAATCATAGCTCACTGCAGCCTCAAATTCCTGGGCTCAAGCACTCCTTCTGCCTCAACTTCCCAAACAGCTAGAACAATAGGTGCACACCACCATGCCCAGCTAAGAATTTTTGTGTTTTAATTTATTTATTTAGTAGAGATGGGATCTCAGTTATTTAGTAAAGATGGGGTCTCACTTTGTTGCCCAGGCTGGTCTCAAACTTTTGGTTTCAAGCTATACTCCTGCCTCAGTCTCCCAAAGTGGTGGGAGTACAGGCATGAGCCACCACACTCAGCCTAGATTTCAGTTTATATTTTACTTTACCTCTTCCCTCTTCTTAGACCACTGTCTTGAATCACAGGTTCTAATACTGCCAACTACTTCACTTTCTCAAAAATCTCTTTACTTTCACAGTAGGCCTCTTCCTGGGTTACTTTTTTTTTTTTTTTTTTTTGAGACAAAGTCTAGCTCTATCACCCAGGGTGGGGTGCAGCGGTGCTATCTCAGCTCACTGCAACCTCCGCCTCCCCAGCTCAAGCAATCCTCCCACCTCAGCCTCCCCAGTAGCTCTATAGGCGCGTACCACCACGCCTGGCTAATTTTTGTATTTTTTGTAGAGATGGGGTTATGTCATGTTGCCCATGCTGGTATCAAACTCATGAGCTCAAGAGATCCACCCACCTCGGCCTCCCAAAGTGCTGGGATTACAGGTGTGAGCCACCGCGCCGGCCTCTGGGTTCCTCTTAACTCAGGCAAGTCCCTCTCTGCCTCTGTCACAGATTCCTCTTCTTCTGCTTTCCCTTTATGTCAGTGGATCTCAAATTTTAAGGCACACTTAAAAAGCACTTGAGGCAGTTCAAAAATGTAGAGTCCCAAATCCCGCCCCAAGAGAGCGTAATTCATTAACCTTGGATGAGTCCCAGGAACCTGTATTTTTTTTAACAAGCAGCCCACGTAATTTTGACACAGGCATAATAACTCAGCTCATATATTCAGTAACACTGCCTTAAATGATGGTGTTTCCCAGCATTGTGGATTTGACCCTATTAACTTCCACTCTAAACCTGGAGTCCTTAACCACGGACCTCGCAGGATTAGTAAAATATTTCCCCCCTAACTATACATACACCCTATGTATATGTGGCAAACGTGCATTTTTCTGGAGAGAGATAGCCATAGCTTTTATCACCTTCTAAAGATTACAAAAAGGTTAGAAATCACTCCTCTACCCACTCTTCCTACTGGATCTCACCACATCACAGAATTAACCACTTGCTATTCACACCTCCATGACTTGTAATTCTATTATCACTGGCCCAGAATTCTCTCCAACTCTCATATCCAACTGTCTAATACCTTTGTCTTTGGATGCTCCACATGCACCATCAACTCAACTTGTATAAAATTAAACACATTATCTGTAGTCCAACAACTAAATGTGCTCCTAATACCACCAGCCACGCAGTCATCTGGAAAGTCTGAGTTGTCCTGGACTCCTCCCTCTTCCTCACTCTCCTCTCCCTCCCTACTGCACTGACCTAATTTAGGCCTTCACCACTTCTCAGATGCAGTATCTTCTTAGCTGACCTCCCTGCCTCATCCACTATCTCCAATACACCATTCCCTCTCTCTATGATATTCTCTACCAGCCCATCGCCTCAGTGTAAGATGGAAACAACACTGATGTACAAGGCCTGTCATGATCTGACGTCTGACTGCACTCCCAGCGCTGTATGTTCGAACCATGCCCCATGACTCGGTTTCCCCAAAAGCCTCGTTCTTCTACCTCCATGATTTGAAATGCCCTGTACTACCTGCGGGACTTTTAACAGGGTCTCTGTGGCACCCCAGTGCCTGGCACAGTGCCCTCGCCTGAAAGGCCTAATGCTTGCTGAACGGCTGGCGGAGTGACTGAGTGACAGGGAATTCCAGGAGTTAGGAAAGGGGCTTCCGGCGGTCGCACCGACGCCCCTCACCAGCTGCCGGTCGGCCACGGTCCTGTCAGGCACAAGGCTGTACACCTGGCTCCTCAGCACGATGGGCGGCAGCGCGTCCTCAAACAGGCCTCGCGGGAACAGCTGCATGAGTTCTGAGACAGCCGCGCGCGCCGACCCTGGGCAGATAAATCGGCTCACGGACAGGGAACTGGGGCGGGGACGCGGTTCTAACAAAACTCTCGGCTACCGGAAGCGAGGCCCCACCCCCGGGGTTGCCATGGTTACCTGGCTCACCCCGAAGAGGATCCGACTCCACAGGCCCTCGCTTCCGCCGCCTCTTAACTCCAAAGGTCTCCGGGATCAGGTGATGCCTCTTCCAGCTCATATCCCGGGATTTTATGGTACCGGGGAAGGGGTAGGAATGGAGGGAAGAGAACCTGAAAATAGGGTCTTCCGGCGCAGAGCAGTGACGTACGGTCTCCCCGGGCGTCCCTCCTAGACCAGGTGATGACGAAAGGAGCGTCAACTTGTCGTCCCTCAGGCCCGTCAGTGCTGGGAGGGGCGGTGGCGACGCACATACCAGCATCACCTCCGCCAGGCCGGGCCCCACGCCGGCCGCGGATTGGCTCCCTCCAAGGGCACGCACGCCCGGGGACTCGTTGGCGGCGTGGAGGGGCGCCGGTGGCCACGTTGGTGTCAACCTCCTTCGTGAAGCTCACACCTCCCCCGCCCCGGGAGGGGTTTGCCCGCCACTGTCGCTGAATGATTGCATCATCGAAAGCAGAAAACCACTTTTGCATCCTTCGGCCTCTGGCGTGCCTGCCATGACGTCATAGCTCTGCGGAGGTGGAAGTTGGGGAGCTTTGAGGTAACTGGATTCTTGATCTGAGCGCAGACGTCCTTCCTAACCTCACTGCATTTGGAGGACCTGGAGGGAGGGTGGGTGAAGGGCAAGGAAAGAGGCAGGATGAGAGCTTGGCCGCGGTGGCGTCTGAGGGGCCTGAATGTTTCAAGGCCAGAGCCTGGCGATCAGGTGGCTCGCTTAGTCCTAAACCAGTCATCCTTCTCCAGGCCTCCTCTGTAGAATGGAAACTCTGTACCCCTGCTTGTCTTAGGACCTCATGGATCCCAGGGGGACCAAGAGAGGAGCTGAGAAGACAGAGGTAGCTGAGCCTCGGAACAAACTACCTCGTCCAGCACCTTCTCTGCCCACAGACCCTGCCCTCTACTCTGGGCCCTTTCCTTTCTACCGGCGCCCTTCGGAACTGGGCTGCTTCTCCCTGGATGCTCAACGCCAGTACCATGGAGATGCCCGAGCCCTGCGCTACTATAGCCCACCCCCCACTAACGGTCCAGGCCCCAACTTTGACCTCAGAGACGGATACCCGGATCGATACCAGCCCCGGGACGAGGAGGTCCAGGAAAGGCTGGACCACCTGCTGTGCTGGCTCCTGGAACACCGAGGCCGGTTGGAGGGGTGAGCAAAGCGTGGTAGGCAGTATATCTGGAGACCCGTACCTACCCTCTAAAATTAGGAGAGCCAAAGCCGGGGTGAGAATCAGTCCTTAGAAGAAACAAGACTATTCTTCGAGGGGAGCATCTCACTAATGCTTGTGTCAGACCTTCAGCCTGTAACTCCTGCCTCTCAGGGGTCCAGGCTGGCTGGCAGAGGCCATAGTGACGTGGCGGGGGCACCTGACAAAACTGCTGACGACACCGTATGAGCGGCAGGAGGGCTGGCAGCTGGCAGCCTCCCGGTTCCAGGGAACACTATACCTGAGTGAAGTGGAGACACCGAACGCTCGGGCCCAGAGGCTTGCTCGGCCACCGCTCCTCCGGGAGCTTATGTACATGGGATACAAATTTGAGCAGTACATGTGTGCAGGTGAGTTGCCCCTGCTTCATAGCCCCCTTCCCCTTCCCAGAGGTTGAGAGCCCCCCACGCCTGCTGCTGCTTCTCTCCTTGTGCAGACAAACCTGGAAGCTCCCCAGACCCCTCTGGGGAGGTTAACACCAACGTGGCCTTCTGCTCTGTGCTACGCAGCCGCCTGGGAAGCCACCCTCTGCTCTTCTCAGGGGAGGTAGACTGCACAGACCCCCAAGCCCCATCCACACAGCCCCCAACCTGCTATGTGGAGCTCAAGACCTCCAAGGAGATGCACAGCCCTGGCCAATGGAGGAGTTTCTACAGGTTCAGGATCGGGGTGGGCAGGGCGAGAGCTTAGGCTTGAAGGCTGGGAAAGGGACTTGGGGAGGAGGGTGAAGGCAGAATGGAGGGTGCACGAGGGGTCCCACTGATCCCTTGCTTTTCCTGTCAGACACAAGCTCCTGAAATGGTGGGCTCAGTCATTCCTCCCAGGGGTCCCGAATGTTGTTGCTGGCTTCCGTAACCCAGACGGTTTTGTCTCTTCCCTCAAGACCTTTCCTACCATGAAGATGTTTGAATATGTCAGGGTAAGGGAACGATGTTGCAGCTCCCACCCGTATCCCCAAACACCAAGACCACAGGTCTAGCATCCAGGGCAACAGCCTGCCTTCTCTCCTCCCACCACCCCCACTGCCCATCTTCTGCCTCCTCCTCTGCCTGCTCCAGAATGACCGTGACGGCTGGAATCCCTCTGTGTGCATGAACTTCTGTGCCGCCTTCCTTAGCTTTGCCCAGAGCACGGTTGTCCAGGATGACCCCAGGTGAGGCATTCAGCTCTGTCCCTCCCCTCTGGATCCCAGGATCCAGCCTCTGGCCCTCAACTGATGCCTCCATCTGCCCCCCAGGCTCGTTCATCTCTTCTCTTGGGAGCCTGGCGGCCCAGTCACCGTGTCTGTACACCAAGATGCACCTTACGCCTTCCTGCCCATATGGTATGTGGAAGCTATGACTCAGGACCTCCCATCACCCCCCAAGACTCCCTCTCCCAAATAGTAATGCTTTAGAGGGAGGCAGTCATATCTCTGTGTGCAGATAATAAAAGCATATTTCTAAGAGGTTCTCTCGCTGTCTTCTTAGCTGAGTCATCCCTGTCCAGCAACTCAAGCACACAACAGTGCTTTGCTGTTTTATCATCATGTTTTTACATGGGGCATTCACTGGGTGTAGAGGCTGGCCGCAAATACGATGTCCCGCCGTAGCAAGGTAGCCGCTGTCTCCATCTTGGCACCCAGCACAGGCTCTCCTACCAGGCGGGCTGCCCCCCGCAGTGAGCGACACATCTCAGCCAGGCGCTGAATGCAGCGGACCACCAGGCCCTCAGGGGTCCCTGAGAGCCCTGCCAACTCGGAGAAGGGCTGTGGGGAAAGTAGGGTGAGGACTGGATGCACTCAGCCTGGGCAGGTTCTCCCCAGCCAGCCGTCTGCAAAATCCCAAACCTCAGGTACTCACCATGCCCCGGGCCCACTCATATACAACCTCAACCAGCCCAAAATTCAGCTCCCCCACAAATTCCTCCACCGTCTGGTTCAGGCCACAAGCCACCTGGACCTCACCAATCCGCTTGGCCACAGCCCGGACACGTTCTATTCCCTGCAGGAAAGAAGGAGAGGTTAAGGCCTGCCTTCCTGCTCCAGGACAGGGAAGGACCAGATCAAGAAGGCAGCCATTTTCCATCCTTGGGGCACTTACAGGGCTGGAGGGGGTCACCTGGGGGACTACCTGAAGGTGAAGGTCAGGAATGCCACAGCCCTGGCAGGGAGAAAGGGGTGGTGTCCCCTACCTGCTTGAGGGTGTTTGGGAGCTGATCCCCAGCGTCCCCAGGGCTCTGGCAGACCAGGCCAGAGAGCAAGGCAGCAATCTCCTCAGGCCGCAGGGTGCTCAGTGCATTGTCAAACATGAGCTCAGTGAGGAGCAACTCATGGCTGCTCATGGCACAAGCCACCCGCCCTGCCAGCTTCACAGTGCCCGCCTCGTCCACGTAACCCAGGGTTCGGAGCACCTGCAAGAAAAAGGGTGGGCATTGGACACACTGCTGTCCCCTAGCCCCCCTGCCCCAACCACTGCCCCACCCACCTCTACTCGCTGATGGTACTCAGGAAGCAGCAGCAATGACTGATCCGACAGTAGGAAGCGCAGCCGCTCCATCTCCTTCTGTATCTGCATTCGCTCCCGCAGCTTCAGGTACTGCAGAGAGCCACCCGTCAGCCTTCTCCTTGCCCCTTAGCAGGGGTGCACTGAGGACAAGGGCTGAGATGGGGGCGGTCAGTCTACAGGGGACCACAGAGGAAAAGCCCCTACTCCCAGCTTGGGAGTTACCACCCAGGGTCCTACCTGGGCAGGAAAACGGGGGCTGTGTACACACTGAGCCCCCTGGATCAGCTCCTCCAGCTTCCGGGCCCGGAGCCCACCCTCTACAACTGACATATCTTTGAGCTGCAGGTCATTGACAGGGTCGAGGGTGGGAGGTCCGGCTGGGTGGGCCTGAGCCAGACGCAGCAGTTCCTGGACAGCAGTGGTCACGGCTGCAAGGGGAGGATCCTTCCTGAAGAGGGAGCAGATCTTAAGATCTGGGGTAAGATCTTCTCTCCCCCAGAAGCCTCCCTCAGGCTGTGGAAGCCCTCTTACTACAACCTCCACTTCACAGTCTCCCTTAGGCTGGGGGAGCCCCCTCACTACAACCCCACCACTTCATGGTCTCCCTCAGGCTGGAGGAAACTCCCAGACCACTGCCCCTCCCTGCCTCTACGTGCCCCTCTGGAGGAGAAGGGCCTCCCTAGCATCTCTGACTTGAATTTTGGCTGCTGCCTCTTGCTGAAGTCCTCCAAGATCTTCTCCCCATTCACCCGGAGCACCTTGGTGGTGATGGCAGCCATATCTCCTGGCTGGAGCTTGACCACGGTGTGGTCACAAGGCCCTGTGAAAAGGGGAGAGCAGGGCAGACATTGCCATGGACCCAGGCATCCTGCTTATACTGCTGGCAGAAAACAGACATCTGCCACACTCTCACCTTCAGGCAGGAACAGCTTGAATCCCACGAGGTCATCTGGATAGGGCACCTCTGCAGTGGCTGGCCCCCTGTCCTGTGGGTCCTGGGACAAGGGCTTATCACACAAGACCAGGGTTGTGAATACTCTGCTGGTGGAGTTCGAGGAGACCTGGGGGTGGTCAGAGAGGCCAGGAGAGGGGGGTGTGATGAGTAGACATCAAAGGCAGAGACCAGATACCCACCCTTGGGCAGGAATCAGGAAGCAACCATGCAGAGCTCACCAGTAGAGAGGGGCAACCAAGTCAAGCGATCAGAGCAGACTTCTTGGGGTGGTGGGAGGAAGGAGTGAGCATGATGTGGTGATGGGAAGGGAGAGGGTGAAAAGGAGGGCAAGAGGGGAAAATGAGGGCCCTATGATGACGCAACCTGCCCTGGCCAAGTGGGGAAAATGGAGAGAGGGCTTGCTCCCTCCCACCCTCTGGAGTCCAAATTCCCATCACCCTCACCTGTAGGATCACTCCCAATGCGTTGTGATGCTCCTGATTCTTCACAACCACCACCCTTCCTGCTGAGAGAGACTTCAGCCCGTTCACAGACTCCATGATGCGTCGCTGAAGAGCAAAGGACAGATGGGAGGAGGCATCACAGGGACAGACACTTGGACTAAGTTTAGTAGCACCTAGAGTAACACGATCTTCTCTTCCCTTCTCCTATCACCTCCTCAGCACTCACACTTGCTCACCTGGATCATGTGCTGGGTCTCTGTCAGTTCCTCCCCCCAGCTGTAATATTCAGGCAGGTCGACCAGTTGGCCAGTCATGTCAGGCTCCTCCAAAGCTCCCAGCCTCTTGGTCAGTTCAGCCAGGGCCTGTTCATGGGCCTTGGGTGGGAGCAGGGGAAGCTGTGAAAGGGGAGTCTCCAGGCCCAATCTGTCACACTCCCCACCCTCAACACACTGGCCTCTGGATGCCTACCTATTCCCAGCCTGTCTTTGGCCAACCTCCTGCTCCACACACTGGTTACCCCAGGCTCCTTACCTTGCTGTCTTTGCGGGAGGGAAACTCAGAGAAGCTCCTCTTCATCATGTCCTCCACCCTGAGGGCATCCACTCGCAGCAAGTTGAGGATCATAGTGTACGTGAGGCGGAACTGGGACTGCAGCTGGGACGGCTTCCCCTGGAGTCAGGTCACAGAAGTCACTGAGATCAGGGTGGGACCTACTGAACCCCAGCCAGTCTTCTGGACTGGGCCTACTCCCGTCAGATCCGGTCCTAGCTCTGCAACCATGGGGCCTTGGACAAACCACTTGCTCACCTCTTCTGTAACATAAGGGAGCAAACTGAAATAAATGGACTCAAAGGCCCCATCTAGCTCCATATTCACATGGGAGAAAACTGGAAGAGATGGGCTCCAATCTCATCCTTGGATTCACTCACTCCTACCTCAGCTTCTCCCAGGCAAAACAAAAAAGTCGGAGGAAGTTGGGCGCTGTGGCCCACACCTATAATCCCAGTACTTTGGGAAGCTGAGGCAGACAGACTGCTTGAGCCCAGAAGTTCAAGACCAACCTGTGCAACATAGCAAAACCTCATCTCTACAAAGCATAAAAAAAAAAAAAAAATTAGCCAGGCCTGTGTGGCATGTGCCTGGAATCCCACCTACTTGGGAGGCT
Organism: Homo sapiens; assembly: GCF_000001405.40. NCBI lineage: Eukaryota > Metazoa > Chordata > Mammalia > Primates > Hominidae > Homo > Homo sapiens. The sequence goes on along the minus strand of NT_167247.2, from coordinate 3,308,248 downwards.
GAGGTGGGAGGATCCCTTGAGCCTGGAAGGCAGAGGTTGCGGTGACCCGAGATTGTGCCACTGCACTCCAGCCTAGGTAACAGAGCAAGACCCTGTCTCCAAAAAAAAAAGGAAGAAGAAAAAGAAGAGAGGAGAATCGAAGACAGAATCCAGCAAGGTCCTGGAGCTGGGGCCCTGCCGAGCATGCTGGCCCGCTCACCATCATCATGCGGTGCAGGTCTGCCATCTCGGGCACTCGGCCCTTGCAGAGCAGGATAACGGTGCCTGTGGGGTCCAGGCCCCTCCGCCCTGCCCGGCCTGCCATCTGCACATACTCCCCAGGGAGCAGGTCCCGGAAGGTGGAGCCATCGTGTTTGCGCATGGAGTCAAACACTACTGTACGAGCAGGCATGTTTACTCCCATGGCAAAGGTCTCTGTGGCAAACAAGACCTGGGACAGAGGAGAACAGAAAGGATCAGCAAAGGCTCTACATACACACACCCCCAGCCCTGGCCAAGCCCACCTTACTTTGTAGGCATAAGGCACCATCCCAGTTGTTACTTATGGGATCTCACTGAACTCTCCAGGCAAATCTATAGGGCAGGTATTATTGTTTTCCTCATTTTACTTATGTAGCTACTTATTTCTATTTCTTAACTTTTACCTTCATATCCCATTCCCATCCCTGACTGCAATCATTCCAATGTATCCAACAAATATCTTTTTATATAAATATGATCTTATAGAACATGTCTTCTTTTGTGAGCTTGTAGTTTATAATTCATATAAAAAGTGGTTATATATCTGATTTTTTTTTGCTTCTTTTTCTCCACCTAGTGTTTCAACATCTGTCCATGTTCCTGTGGCCACATCTAACCCACTGCTTCCAACTGCTGCAGAACACTCTATGGGTGCATCCCCCACACTAACCTTCCCTCTCTCCCAGTGAAGGGCACCCTGGTACTACCAACACCATGCCACCACAAACAAAGGATGGGTGTACATGTTCTCTCACAGACCAGGGTGAGAATTTCTTTGTGATATATACCCAGGAATGAAATATAAGCTCAGAGTATGATATAGTTTTTGTTTGTTTCTTTGTTTGTTTTTGTTTTGAGATGGAGTCTCCCTCTGTTGCCCAGGCTGGAGTGCAGCGGTGCTATCTTGGCTCACTGCAATCTCTGCCTCCTGGGTTCAAGCAATTCTCCTGCCTCAGCCTCCCAAGTAGCTGGGACTACAGGCACCTGCCACCATGCCCAGCTAATTTTTGTATTTTTAGTAGAGACAGGGTTTCACCATGTTGGCCAGGATGGTCTCGATCTCTTGACCTTGTGATCCACCCACCTCAGCCTCCCAAAGTGCTGGGATTACAGGTGTGAGCCACCATGCCCGGCCAATATAGTTATTTTGTCTAAATAGTGCCAGCGTGCATTCCAAACTGGCTAGGCATCCCGTAAAGGATTCCCAGAACCCTACAACCTCCTATATCTCTGGCAACACTCGGCATGAACTAGTTTCCTAAATTTTACCAGTCTAATAGCTGTAAAGTCGTATCTTGTGAGTACTTCAATTTGTATATTTCTGATTACTAATAACTTTTCGAATGCTTGCTAGCTTCCTGGGTTTCTTTTCTGAGACCTACGTATTCATATCTTATGCATCCCCATTTTAAGATGGGAAACCTAAAGTTCAGGAAGGTTAAATAATTGGTCCAGGATGATACTGTGAATACATGGTGTACCTGGGATTCAAACCCAGGTAGTCTGAATCCAGAGCCCAGATTCTTAACCACAGCACTGGCCTGCCTAAACCTCTGCCCCTCTGCCCTCTGGGCAGCCCCTAAGTGGGCAACAAGCACCCTGAGGAGTCCCTTTCCACCACCACATGCACCTTGACCAGGCCACGGCTGAAGAGCATCTCCACGATCTCCTTGAGGATGGGCAGGATGCCGCTATGGTGCACACCCAGGCCGCGATTCAGGAGCTCTGACATGTGCAGGACCTTTGGTGGGAGGAGGCCCATGGTCAGGGATGGAGTCTCGGAACACCCTATCCCCACCAGTCTGCCAAATGTGTGCATGCACGCACACAGACGCACACAGACGCACCTGGGGCAGCTGGCGGTCAGAGCCACGGAGGCGAGCAAGGCAGCGCTGCAGGAAGAGGTGGATCTCGCTCTTCTCCGAACTGGTGGTGAGGTCAAGGGAGGTGAGGCCTGAGGCCTGCTCATCACAGCGGCCCCGGGAGAAGGTGAACACCACCACGGGCAACTGGGCACGTGTGCGGAGGGAGGCCAGGAGGGACAGGTACACTCCGCGGTCCTGGAGAAGGAAGGGGAAGGGGAAGGAGCAGAGGTTGAGTTCCTGAACCAATGAGAGGTGAGCTAGTGTTAACTGGGGCAGTGCTCAAAGCTCAAGTCAAAACCCCTGGGGGACAAGGGGAAAAAAAAGATAGGAGGAAAAACAGGTGCTGGCAGGTACAAAACCCTCCCAGTTCTCACCTGTGCAGGGCCCCCCTGATGTGTGGGCTGCTTGGCCCCAAAGGTCTGGGCGTGTTTGCTCATTCTCTCCTTCTTGGCCTCCACAGCTGCATAGTACCTGGGGCACAGGGAGGGGTAGCCACAATGTCCAGCTGGGGGCCCAGCCCTAACTCTTTCCCCCATCTCGAGGCTTACCCTTTTGTATGGAAGGCTCCTCGGGAGTCCAGCAACAAAAAGAGCTCCCCCTGGGTCTTGGAGCTGTTCCCTGTGAAAAGATAGTGCTCCAGGGGCACGGGGCGGGTTACAGTGCTAATCACATAGATCTGACGACGCTTCAGCCGCCTGAAGAAAGGAGAGGGAAGCAGGTCAGGGGTGGGAACGTGGGAAGGAACCCACATCCCCACCCCCTTCCCTACCCCTCCAACTTTACCCAGTCTTTTCTGAGACCCAGAATGGAAGGCTATCCCCCAACATCTCATCCCATTTCAACATGCAAAGTAATCTGGACCCAAAGGGGATCCCACAGCCACCAGGTGGGACATGTTCCCCAGCATCACCCCTAAGGCCTGACCGCTCTCCTTGCTGTGGTAGACTTAGTCCCCCACCCGAATCAAGGAGTACTGTAGCCCCCTTCACCCAGGCAACCCGGGACACACGTCTCACCCAATCCAGTCAGCAAACTCAAGGGCGTTGGGGACGGTGGCACTCAGAAGGATGATAGAAACGTGGTCAGGTAGCATGATAAGCACCTCCTCCCACACGACCCCACGCTGGGCACAGAGAGGGAAGGGAGGTCACATGAGGGCAGGGGCCGCCCTTCTGCCCATAAAGAGGCACAGGATTCCATATGGGGGTAAAGAAAGCAGTAAGGGGCCCTGAGTGTGTGGAATAAGGGAGACGCTCAACTGGTCCCAAAGGAGAGGACTGCCGGGTTCTGGGGAGCCCATGGCCCTTACCTCGACATCGTTGATATAGTGAACCTCATCAAAGATGACCCACTCCAGGTCCCGAATAACATCTGAGCCACTGTACAGCATGGAGCTGGGGAGAAGAGGCCAAGGATTGACTCCCCAGTGGCTCGTCTCCACCCACTCCTCAGACAGCACACTCTCCACAACGGCCACATCTTCCCAGCCAAAACTCCCCTGTATTGAGTGTCCATCTCTCACCGAAGGATCTCTGTGGTCATGATGAGGCAGGAGGCCTCCGGATGCAGCTGTACATCCCCGGTGAGCAGCCCCACATCCCCGAATGTGTTTCGGAAGTCCCGGAACTTCTGGTTGCTCAGGGCCTTGATGGGCGAAGTGTAGATGGTGCTGGGAAGAGAGCATGAAGTTAGCCAGTCCCTCCGCAGACTCATGGCCCGCACTTCCTCTCCCACATGGAGCCCTCGTGGAAGCATGCCCCAGAAGCTCAGGTGCTCCTCTTCTTCACCCAAACTGCCCTTACATTCTCCTGCATGATATAACCCCAGAAAAATTCTGTCCCCAACCCCTTCCTAAACTAACCCAGGTCATTCTTCTAAACTTTCTCCCCACCATGTCTTTTCATTTCTCTCTGGGCTCTTGTCTCAGTCTTAGCCCTGAACCTCTCACTTAAAGGATGAGCTAGAGAGGTGGGGGAAGAGATGAGATTTTCAAAGGATGCAGGAGAAAATGGGGCTGGCTGGTGAAGGGGGAGGTTGGCAAAGGAACTCATACCGTGTCATGTGTTTCTGGGCCAGGGCAATGGCATATTCAGCCACAACTGTTTTTCCTGCAGATGTGTGAGCTGCGACAAAGACAGAGTCATGCCGTTCCAAGTGCAGGATGGCCTGTTTCTGAAACACATCTGGCTCAAATGCCCACTATGGGAGAGAGAAATAGACAGGAGCTGAAGAAAGGAGCGGGGCCTTGCTGCCTCCTGCTCATGGAGCACGCAGGGCGGGCGGATGAAGGCCGGAGCCAGCCGAGGCTGGGACTGAGTACCAAGACTGGCCTGGGATGGATCTGACCTCTGGCCAATAGAGGAGACAAGGGGTCGGCTGGGAGTGTGACCCAGAAAGAGGTAGAGGAGCGTGTGAAGATGGGGCCAAAGTACCTGGAAGGCTGGCTGGGGAATGAGGCGATAGAAATCACCAACAGGGGAGGTGGCGTCCACAGGGATGGCCCACTGCTCCTGAGATGGAGGCTCTGGGGCCTCTGGGGTGGATACAGCTGTGGACGCTTCCTGGAAGAGTCAGGGGTAGCAGTGATAAAGATACAACCAGAGGGCTCTCAATTAGCACTCCTCCCAAAAGATGTCCCTTTCTTCCCCTCAGACCCATCCTAGCCAGCCCACATCCTGGTGGCAAGGCTCTTTCTTGCCTCCACTACACAGAACCACCAACCTTCAACACTAGGTCTTCCAAGCTGCTTGCTCGGGCCAGGGGAGCACTGCAGGGAGAGGCTGAAACAGTGTCCCCTCTGGGACCTCCTGGCTGTCCCACTGCCTCATTCTCATCCTCGTCACCCCCACCCAAATCCAGAGGCTCCAACAGACAGCTAAGGCTTAGTAGTCCAGGAGCTGGAGTTGGACAATCTGAGGAGCAAGCCAACAAGGTCAACCTTGTCATGTCCATCTCTGTTCCTTAGGAGAAGGACATGACTTCTCCTACACCCCACTCAAAAACTAAAACTAACCTTTTGGTGCAAAGTCCATGCCTTTCTTGAAACCAGGTGGAATAGTAAGAAGATCTGTAGGATAGGGACATGGAATCAGGTCACTGCACACTGGTGAACAAATTGTGTACATTATATAAACCTAAAAGATACCATTTACAGGACAGATGCTGTAGATAGGGATGTTTGCTATGACACTTTTCCAACAGATGACAGTAAAGGTTGTTGTAGAAATTTCCCAGCAGATGACAGTAAAGGTTGTTATGGACAGAATATCTTTTTCTAATTTTCTCAAAAACATGGGAGGGCTAGCAGTAGCCCAGTGATAGCCTGGGCTCTTCCTCCTCAAGGCTCAGACTCAGAGCCCCACCTTACCTTTCTCAAAGTCTATCTCCTCCTCAGCCTCCTCCCGTGTGTTCAGATCTGTTATGGTGGGTTCATCCATCCCCCCTGGGAAGAGACAGGACAGACAGGGATTCATGGGATGAGGGTAATACGAGATAGGTGGGGAACCCTTCCCTGGAGATTAAAGACACCCTCTTCTACCATCCCATCTCCACAAGAGTCACCTGGCCAGAAGGGATACTGAGTTGGATTTCCCCATAAGGACTGGGAGGCTGGCCCTGGAGGCCGGCGAAGAGACAAGGAGGTTGTAGCCGAGAGATTTGTGTTCTCCAGCAAGACCTAAGGCAAGAGATCAGAGCCCCAATGAGGCTGAGCTTGTCTCTGACCACCTCCCCTTCTCCCCAACTGTTTCTCATGACCCCTGACCTCCTACCTCTTTGTAACCCAGTATCTGGCCTGTGGTTGGGTGTCTTTGGGCCTGTAGGTCGGATGGGACTGGGGCTCCCAGGACAGCCAAAAGAGACCAGGGATCCGTCTTCCTCTGCCATTTTCTGGAGAGAAAAATAGTAACTTTTGGGTCTTCTTTCTTCCTCTGTCCCAGCTTCCTTCAGGAACCCATCACCCTAGTCTAAGCCCCTCCAGACTCCTCACCGGGCTGAGTGCTCCACACCATGCAGAGGCAGCCAGGCTGGGGATGACAGAAACAACTGTTCTGCTTCTTGCTGCAGATCTGGGGCACAAGGAGGGAGGCCATGGGGAAGCTGAAACAAGGGCAAGATGAGAGGCATTAGGTAAGGAAAGAGGATAAAATGCAGACAAAAGAGATGATGGGACTTGTGTTCAGATCAGAAATGGCAGATGTGTCAAACAGACTAGGACAATCAGGCTTGGCCAAAAACTACCTGCTACTGAATTACCTGGGGCAGATTTTGGATTTCAGAAACATGGAGGCTGGACCTAGGAATGTGCATTTTTAAAAAGCTCCCTGGCTAATCATGAAGCACACTGAAATTGGAGACTCACTGATTTTAGAAAAAGGGGTCCCAGACCTAAGGATGAAAGGTTGGAGGCTCAAAGCCTATCATCTCAGTCACCAAGTGCCCTGGTGCTTGGATACAGAAGGGAGCTCCACGGAGAAATGCCACATTTGAAAGAGCAGCTCTCAAAGCAAAAATATCCCCAGCCCTTTCTGCTCTGTCCTCACACGTACTGCAGGTACACTGGGCTGTAATCTGTCCAGCACCCCTTCAGGCTGGGATGGACAGGAGTACAGGCACAGATGAACAAGGTTAAGCTAGATCCTACTGTGAGGAGGGTGAAGGAGGTTTGGACTCAATGCGGGTCAAAGGTTAGGGTCAAAAGTCACTCACGCTACTCTCTGGAGCTCCAGGCAAGTTCAGCAGCTCCCAGTGCCCCGTGCATCCGAGCTCCACGGCCCGAAGGGGTAGGTCCAGGGGATCTGGAGGGGGTAGCACTACGGGGAAAGGTCAAAAGTCAGGGGTCAAAGTTCATTCCATATCGGCTACTCCGTTCCATTTCCCTCCCCTCCCCCTCACCAAGTCGCTCTGTCTCCATCATCCTGGAGCCACAGCAGCTGCCTGGCAGCCCGGAAGTGCGGCAAGTAGTCGCTGCGAAGTAAGCCCCGCCCCGGAACGGGCGGAAGTAGAGGCAACTTCCGGTACAGCCCCGCCGAGAGCGTGAACTATCGCTGCGGAGGGGCAGACCTGGACCGGTGGAAGGCCGGGCGGAAGTGCGCGCCTGGGGCCGCCTTGGTTACCGCGTTTTCCGCTCCTCGCTACGTCATCGTTGTGAGCCCGCTATCAGCGGCCAGCGCGGGCGCGGCCGGAGACCGTGGGGCCCCCGGTTGCCGCCCCCTCGGGTAAGGCCCTCTGCTTCTCACTCTTCGGCCCTTTTTCTCATAGCCGTTTCTCTGTTCTTCCTCTTTGCGTTGCTCTGCGGGCGCTACGCTGGCTCCACCGCCTTCTCTGCCGTTCAAACCCCGCGGTTGTCCTTACCCTAGCGAGGGTAGGGGGGTCGGGTGCCATCGTCTTTCCGACGGAGTGGATATTTGTCCCTCCTTGAACCACATGGTACCTAAAGGTGCTGGTGTCTGTGATCCCTGGAGACAGGAGGGAATGCTGGATGATCCCGACCAGCGGGAGCTTGGACAGCAGCCTGGTTTAAGCAAGGGGTAGGGAAAGCCAAAGACAAGAGTAGGCAGACCTGAAGGGGTGGGGTTGGGTACAGTGTGGACGGCGTGTGAACCCCGGGTGGTAACAGTGGAGAAAGATGTCTTGGGCCCTGCCCCTGAACTAGGAGCCACCATGTTGGTGATACCCCCCGGACTGAGCGAGGAAGAGGAGGCTCTGCAGAAGAAATTCAACAAGCTCAAGAAAAAGGTGAGGGACTGTGTGTGGACATGGCCTAACCTTTCACAGACTCTGCACTCTGAGAAGATATGGGGTGAGTGTGAGCGAATGGGGAAGTTTTTCTGGCCCATACCTAGAGACATATCACCTCACAGTGTAGCTTCGAGAGGTGGGCTTTCCCAAGCCTTGGTGTGGACCTTCTGTCTTTTCTATGCAATTTGCCATGGATTGTCTTCCTTTCCCATGGCTTTTAGTACCGCTTAAGAGCTGATGATCCCCAAGTTTGTTTTTTCCAGTTCTATCCAGTGTTATACTGAAAAACTTCAGATACTCAGTGTTGAAGCTATCATCTTTCTATTCTTGATCTTCCAAATAAGATTGACTACACCAATTCTGCCACATGTTTGGACTCAAAACTCTGACTTCCCCACTATTTGCATAGTCAAACCTTTGCCAAGTCTTATTGTTTCTTCTTTTGAAGTAATTTTTCCTGTTTATTCTTCACTGTGCATTCCCCCGAGCAGGGCTTTATTGACATTCATGTGGGCCATTGTAATGGTCTCTCAACAAATTTCTCAGTCTTTTTTTTTGAACAGACTTCTTCACTCCTGTTCAAATGATCCATTGAAAACACAAAATTCTGCTCCCTCTGTTTCTCAAAAACCATAAATGGCTTCACATTGTCTATAAAAAAGCCTCAAAACCTTAGTTTGGCAGCCTTGTCTAGTAAAGTAGAACTATTCACTACTTCCAAAAGATGCATTCCCAAAGCCTTCTTATCTCTGCATCTTTGCCACCCTGTTTTCTTTTTCTAAAATACCCTTCTCCTCTCTGTGTTGTGCAGAGATACGGGAGAGGGCCTAGTTTAATAGCCATTAAACATCAGAAAATCTTACTAGCTTTCAGCTATGAATAATCTGCACCTCTTATAATTGTATTGCTAACTCAATGTATTTTATTTCTCAGACTGTAAGCTTCTTGAGGGTAGGAACAATGCATTAGCCTCCTGGATATCCCTGTTACGAAGTCATGGCTGGGCCTCATTCAATATGCAGGAAATAGATGGATGAAGCTTCCAGGAAAGGCACATAAACTTATACTTACTTGCAGCTTATATCCTAGGATTCTAGTCCATGATTGAGTTATTTGTCTTCAACTTCAAAAATGTAACACTCTGGAAAACCTCTGGGTTCCGTGGTTTGGTTAGATTAGGAATTTCCAGCATCATACATGATCTAGGGGACCAGAGGCAAGAGGCAGAGCACATCAGTGTACCACTCTGAGGGCATCAAGAAAGACGGTCCCTGGAGTGATGTGCCCAGGGGCCTTAGGAGAGGAACCGGCTAGGGGCTGGCCCTCACTTACCTCTCTCTTCTCACCCTTGTTCCCAGAAAAAGGCATTGCTGGCTCTGAAGAAGCAAAGTAGCAGCAGCACAACCAGCCAAGGTGGTGTCAAACGCTGTGAGTGACAGGGGAAATGGGGATGGACTGGAAGTGGGCAGCATGGAGCTGACCTTCATCATGGCTTGGCCAACATAATGCCTCTTCCCCTTGTCTCTCCAGCACTATCAGAGCAGCCTGTCATGGACACAGCCACAGCAACAGAGCAGGCAAAGCAGCTGGTGAAGTCAGGAGCCATCAGTGCCATCAAGGCTGAGACCAAGAACTCAGGCTTCAAGCGTTCTCGAACCCTTGAGGGGAAGTTAAAGGTGAGCACAAGCAGAAAGATTGTTTAAAGGGCATCCCTCCAAGTTGGAATGTAGATGGGTTTGGGGAAAAATATGCATACTCAAGCACTGGCAAATTGCTGTACCATTCTGAGTTTCACCTCTCATGTATAAAATGAAAAAACTAGACGACTCCTGAATTCTCCATTTTACAAATTCTGTGGTTCTAATCCACCTTGGATTGGAGCTCTTGGAATATGTTGCCCTAAGGGATGGAAAGGGCTGAAAATGTTATCAGGTTCAAGAGAGGTTCAAATAAACTGAATACATAATATATCGAGTCACTTATAAAAAATACCAGCTGGGCGTGGTGGCTCATGCCTGTAATCCCAGCACTTTGGGAGGCTGAGGTGGGCAGATCACTTGAGATTAGGAGTTTAAGACCAACCTGGCCAACATGGTAAAACCCCGTCTCTACTAAAAATACAAAAATCAGCAGGGTGTGAGGCCGGGCGCGGTGGCTCACACCTGTAATCCCAGCACTTTGGGAGGCCGAGGCAGGCGGATCACGAGGTCAGGAGATCGAGACCATCCTGGCTAACAAGGTGAAACCCCATCTCTACTAAAAATACAAAAATTAGCCGGGCGTGGTGGCGGGCGCCTGTAGTCCCAGCTACTTGGGAGGCTGAGGCAGGAGAATTGCTTGAACCCAGGAGGCGGAGCTTGCAGTGAGTCGAGATTGTGCCACTGCACTCCAGCCTGGGTGACAGCGAGACTCCGTCTCAAAAAAAAAAAAAATTAGCAGAATGTGGTGGTGCACACTTATAGTCCCAGTTACTGAGGAGGCTGAGGCCAGAGAATCACTTGAACCCAGGAGGCAGAGGTTGCAGTGAGTGGAGATCACACCACTGCACTCCAGCCTGGACGACAGAGCAAGATTCTGTCTCAAAAACAAAACAAAACAAGCCACAATGGCAGGTGCGGCAATGGCTCATTCCTGGTTAATTTCAGCACTTTAGGAGGCCGAGGTAGGAGGATTGCTTGAGCCCAGGAGTTTGAGACCAGCCCTGGCAACATAGTGAAACCCTATCTCTACAAAAAAAAAAAAAAATACAGAAATTAGCCAAGCATGGTAGAGCACATCTCTAGTCCCAGCTACTAGGGAGGCTGAGGTAGGAGGATTGCTTGAGCATGGGAGGTCAAGGCTGCAGCAAGCTACGATTGCTCTATTGCACTCCAGCCTGGACAACAGAGCAGGACCGTGTCTCAAAAAAAAAAAAAAAAAATAAGTAAAACCACGTCAAATAAGAAATGTATGTAGAATTAAAAGGGAAGAAAAGATCAGAGGAAACCTAGAAGAGGGTGAGGGAAGAGGAACACCTCTGGTCCATGGTTGGGCAACCTCCTGCTCCACACTGAGGTAGGTCTCTCACCACTCCAGGACCCCGAGAAGGGACCAGTCCCCACTTTCCAGCCGTTCCAGAGGAGCATATCTGCTGATGATGACCTGCAAGAGGTAAAGGCTCCTAATTTCTGTCCCTGAGGGGTTGGGGATGGAGGAATATGAGAGACAAATATATTTTGGACCACATGTCAGCAACTGGAAATCATCTTAACTGTTCTTGGTCTCTTTTACAGTCATCCAGACGTCCCCAGAGGAAATCTCTGTATGAGAGGTTAGAGAGTAGAGATAAGGCTGGGCCCATTTGGTGGAGTTGATTGCCTGAGTCCTTGGGAGGTTTGGGCTGTAGGAGCTGGGCTATAGAGGGAATATTGAGTCTCCACAGGGTCTGAGGGGAGAAGGTAAAACCCCCCTTTGATCTTCAGTCTGCATCTCCCCAGCTTTGTGTCTTCTAGTGATCGACTTCGAGAACTAGGACCAGATGGAGAAGAGGCAGAGGGCCCAGGGGCTGGTGATGGTCCCCCTCGAAGCTTTGACTGGGGCTATGAAGAACGCAGTGGTGCCCACTCCTCAGCCTCCCCTCCCCGAAGCCGCAGCCGGGACCGCAGCCATGAGAGGAACCGGGACAGAGACCGAGATCGGGAGCGGGATCGAGACCGGGATCGAGACAGAGACAGAGAGCGGGACAGGGATCGGGATCGGGATCGAGATCGAGACCGGGAACGGGACAGGGATCGGGAGCGGGATCGAGACCGAGACCGAGAGGGTCCTTTCCGCAGTGAGTGATTTTGGCTGGAGGTCAAGGTGACCTTAACTGAGGTTTATGTGGGTCCTACTAAGTGAAATGTGGCATGGGCTATGTCTTGTGACTATGATTTGTGCTCCCAAAGGGTCGGATTCATTCCCTGAACGGCGAGCCCCTAGGAAAGGGAATACTCTCTATGTATATGGAGAAGACATGACACCCACCCTTCTCCGTGGGGCCTTCTCTCCTTTTGGAAACATCATTGACCTCTCCATGGACCCACCCAGAAAGTAAGGATGACAACAGGGCATGATGAGAAGTCCTGGGAGAATCCTGGGGTGTGAGACCTGAGGGAAGAAGCTGCCCTCCCTGCAGCCGCCTATTATCACTGGGTTTGGTTGGGTCCAGAAGAGCCCCTTGGCTCTCCACTGACCGTGTTTTCTCTTATCCCAGCTGTGCCTTCGTCACCTATGAAAAGATGGAGTCAGCAGATCAGGCCGTTGCTGAGGTTGGAACTTCCCAAATCTGTTCTTCCCATCGCTTCTGCTGTTCTCATGTGTTCTCCTCAAAATACTAGATGCCAGGAAGAAGTTGGTTCCTCTTGATAAAGAAAGCCTCTCCCTATTCACACAGAAAAACTCACATTCTCAGATTCCTTATTCAGTCTCCTCCTAGGATAGCAACTCCTGGAATAACTTCTTTGGTTTATCTGTAATGTTTTCCTCCCCATCCTCTGCCTCCCCTCTTCTGCTTCAGCTCAACGGGACCCAGGTGGAGTCTGTACAGCTCAAAGTCAACATAGCCCGAAAACAGCCCATGCTGGATGCCGCTACTGGCAAGTCTGTCTGGGGCTCCCTCGGTAAGAATGGGATTCTTCCTTTCCCATCCTTTCCCCCACAGGCCATTCCTTTTGGTTCCCCCACACATCCTTGGGTTTCCTAGAGATGATCGAGGTCAGAGTGTGTGCGGAGGCTATGGGAATGGGAAGGAAAATTTCAGATCCTCTGTCAGTTAGAGGTAAAGAAAGGAGAGAAAAGGATTGAAAACAGCTTCCAAAGCAGTGACTGGAACAGGGAAGAAAGTGGGAGCTGGAGTGAGATTGGTGAGGAAGATGAGTGTCTCATGGGGCTTGTTCATTTTGAGATGGAGTAGAGTGAGTTTCATAAGTATTCGAAATCAGGGATCTGGAACTCAGGTGTGAGGTAAGGAAGGAAAACATAGATTAAGTCATCCACATCACAGGGTGGCTGCCAAACAATAGGATCATCAGGGAGACTCTGATTTCAGAGAAAAAAAAACGACCCAGGACTCAGTTTGAGGAGTACTCTGGGACTATGTTAGGAAACAGGACTGTTCACCTCACACCCCACATGTCCCCAGCTGTCCTGACATGTTAGGCTAACGTTGAGCCTAACGTTAGCAAAGGAGACAGGAGGAGGGGTCGGAGGGCTGGGAGCAGCACCGCAGGGGCCTGGGCCACTGAAGCAAAAGGACACACACTTTGAGAAAGAGGGAGTAGCCAGCAGTGTTGAGGCACAGAGATCACAGGATGGGAGTGGGTGAGAGAGATTCTCTGTAGCTCAAGGGTGGTGGGGATGGAACCATTGGATGGGGTGAAGAGAGTAACATGTCTGGTGGAGGGAGGAAAGAGGAAGGGGAAGAAACAGCTAGAGGCTTGAGAGAGAATGGTGAGGGCCAAAGCTACACCCTGAATGAGTTCTGGTGGAGCTAGTAGCATTTCTTAGTGTGAATAATCCATTTTCCCTGAAAGTAGATTTTCCTGGGAAAGGAGTGAGCAGAAAGAAGGGCTCAGCTACAGTGGCCCTTCAGGCAAAAGAAAGGAACTAGAATTGACCAGCATGTCAAAAAAGGGCTACAGAGGTTTTCTAGTTTTTAGCTTCTGACATACTGACTGTAAGTAGTGGGTTAATATCATTCACGTGTCTCAACAATGACATTTGGGATTTTTCTAAGAACAAAACATTCATCAAAATGTCCACTTATACTTTTCTTGGCCATGGGTTGGCACAAAGGAGCTAAGGAAGACAGGCCATCCTGGCCACCAGAGGGCAGCGTGGAAACTGGGCTTCCAGGGGCCAGTGGCCAGGAGTGAGGTGGTCAGGAGTCAGCCTCAGGGTCTGTTCTATGATCTCCTTTAGACCTTAACTGTTCCTCTCCTCCCTCCCTAGCTGTCCAGAACAGCCCTAAGGGTTGCCACCGGGACAAGAGGACCCAGATTGTCTACAGTGATGACGTCTACAAGGAAAACCTTGTGGATGGCTTCTAGGGAACAGAGCTGGATTCCTTGTGCCTCATATGCCCCAATGCTGGTCTCAGTAAAACACTGAGGTGGAAGCTTACACATCTCCCTCAGCCTCTGGTTTTTCAGCACTTGGGATTGGGGTTAAACCTTTAAAAACGGCTGTCAGGTTTGATCTCAGTGTAACAACATGGCCAGTGCCTGTTCCCCACTCCCTTGCCCCAAAAGGATCTGGAACACAGGTGTTGTCGCAGCTGTTTTAATTCAATCCCACGCCCCTGTCCAGCAGGAAACCCCTTATAGAAAACCCAAATCCTCATCTTGGAGTTTCTCCTTCAGCCAGGGCAGCACTTGAAAGAGGTTGATGTGAAAGTCTCGGGCGTGAGCAGGTACCTGCTTTTGCCGCTTCTGGTTTTTGCAGACATCCACTACTCCCCAGCTGATTACACCAACCTGCAGAGGCAGTGGGGTGCCATGGATCATTCAGTAGAATTCCTAATCCTGGAAGCATGGCTGTTCCTGCTTGCGTCTTAGCTGACCTAAAGGAATCAGACTAGGGACCCAGCTCAGCCTCGTTCTTGACACACGCAGGCAAGACATGCGGTCCTAAGGTGAGGCAGGCTCTGCCTACCTCGAATTACTAGCCACATGCATTGAGCTTTCCTGCTTTGGGGCCCATGCTGACCACTTGGCATCTCCCCAGATAGGAAAGGGAGGACTCACTTGAATGAAACGACTTCTCTTGTGAACTATCAAGGGGCCGCCAGAATCACCTGCAAGGAGAGGAGAAGCTGTAGAGAAAAGGACTGTTGGGCCTTGGGCACTTGTAGCACAACCAAAGAGCATTCTCTCACCTCTGCAAGTATTGGGGTCAGCATAGGGACTCACTCCTCCAGTACAAAGGAACCGAGGGGTGACCACCTCTGAGATGTCCTTGACTTTGTCATAGCCTGGGGCATATTGAGCATCTCTCTCACAGCTGCCTTTCTGTAGGGGAGGTGGGAAGCATGGAGAAGTAATGAACAGAAGTGGCTTAGGAAGGATTGGGGCCTAGAGTGCCTCCTTAGGATGCCCGTTTCTCACCTTATCCCCATTCTTGATGTAGACCTCCTTCCGAGTCAGCTTTTTCTCCTCCTCAGACACAAACAGAGCTTTGATATCCTGTGCAGGGAGCAGCTCTTCCTCTGGACGAATAGACTGCGTCACTTCAGCTGCTCCCACCACTGTCATCTCCCCATTGCCTTTGTCACTCAGTAGATGTCCCCTAAGCCCTTCTAGAGCTAGGTTCTGGGCCAGGCATCATCTCTTCCTATTGCACCTCCCTCTCATGCCCCACTTGTCTCTTGGGATCTCATCCTTATCCTCTTGCCAAGTATGTCTTACTTTGTTGCTGGCAAGTGGTAGTTGGAGGAAGCCTCAAAGCTCGAGTTGTTCCCTCGGTGCAGGGGAGACAAATGGGCCTATAAAGGACAAGGAGAACAGCAAACCAGGCCTGCTCCTCACCCCAGTCCTCCAGCCTTTCCCAGCCTTTCCTCAGGGATCTGGACGCTCTCACCTGATAGTCTGGCCATATTTCAGCTTATTCTTGAGCTTGATCAGGGCAACGTCATAGTCATAAAATTCAGGAATTCCTGCTTCTTTTTTCCCATTAATGTTGTAGTTGGGGTGAAATAGGACTACTTCTATCTCCAGGTCCCGCTTCTCCCCTCCTGAAGTAGGAGAGTAGGTACCACCTCTTTGTGGGCAGCTTCCTGCCTCTGGCCCCGTGTCATTCCTAACTTCACGTCTTCCCCCATCCCTGACTGGTCTGGGGTGCAAGGAATGGGGCTGCATTGAGGATGGGTGGAGTGTAGGATCTGTAGAAAGTGGGAGGTGTTGCCTGGAGAGCATAGGTGCAGCCCAGGACCTTCAGTTGCATCCTTACCTACGCTGACCTTGATTGAGTGTTCCTTGTCATCCACAGTGAAACAATGTGCTGCTGTCAGCACAAAGTACTCAGACACCACAGCCCCCATACAGCTCTCGTGTCCCTTTGAAGGGCGCTGGGGACACAACAGTAGAGAGGGAAAGCTCAACTTTCACAAACCACCATCTCTTATGGCCATTTTTTCCTTCCCCTACTCCCATTTCACCTTGACCTCACCTCCCCCAAGTCCCCACTACTGGGATTCTGTGCTTACAATGACTGAGATCTTGGCCTGCCATGGTTGCTTGTGGTAATCGGTACCCTTCCTGTGTTCCCAAACCATGCCACAGAGACTCAGAGACTGGCTTTCATCTGGCAGAGAAGGAGAATGTGCTGAAAACTCGGAACACTTCATTCCCAAATGGCAGCAGCCTTTTGGGTAGGAGTCTATGGGGAGCAAAGGCCCAAAAGGAGAAAGGGAAAGACCACGGGTATTTGTTTCCTCGTGTTAGGAGAAAACTGCTATGGTGGACTGAAAAGGGAAAGAACTTGGGATCAAGCTGTCAGAGGCCTGGCTGTTTTCAAGCCCACCCTTGTTGCTAACTTGCTGTCCCTTGACCTCCTTTGGCTTCTGTTTCCACGTGTCAAATGTAGGACTGTAGAAAGATCTCTGAAGTGCTCAGAGCTCTGTGATTCTAAGGTTAAGTGAACAGTGCCAGGAAACAAGAATAGTGACACTGAGGTAGAGAAGGAGGAATGAAGAAGGCTTTCCAGGCAACTAGAGCTTCAGGTGTAGAGGAAGAATGAATTACTTCAGGGGAACCTGAGGAGAGTTGTGTTCTTTATTCCCTTGTATCTCCCTACCGATCATTTGGTAGAAAACATCTTCCAGGTTTTCCATATCCTTGACTTTGAACACATGTTGCTCATTGTCTTTCTTGGAAGCCAAAGCATTGATGTTCACTTGGTTCACCAAAGGCCCGACCCCAAACACATAGACATCTGAGGGATAAAAAGGAAGGATGAGGGTCCAAGCCCTGAGGAAGTGGGGTGCTGGGTCCTAGGCAGGTTACTCACCCAGATAATCCTCCCTTGGGTTTTTGCGATCCTTGCCAATGTATAGCAAGTCCCGGATCTCATCAATGACAGTAATTGGGTCCCCGCCCATGTTGTGCAATCCTGCAGAAGAGACAGGACCATGAGGGTAGGAGATAAGGAAGATAAACTGGCTAAAGGCAGGGATACACATGGCAGGGTGAGCAAGTTGAGGAAGGGTTAGAGATAGTTGATCACAGGGCTTAGGAAGAATTCCTTATGAAGGGTCACAGGAGAGATGAACAGCCAGCTATGAGTCACATTCAGGGCCCCAACCATGGGTATAGTGTTACAAGTGGACTTAAGGGCCACATGCTGGTCTGAGAAGGTGGGGAGGCTGGGACAGGAGAGAGGTCCCTTCTGACCATCAGTCATGAGGATGATGACATGGCGGGTGCGGTTCCAGCCTTCAGGAGGGACGTCATCTGGCCAGCTCATCATGCTGTACACTGCCTGGAGGGCCTTCTTGGTGTTAGTCCCTGACTTCAACTTGTGGTCTGTGGAGAGGGAAGAGACCATCACCTCACCTGGTCTTCCAAGCCATCTTTTAACCCCAGAGACCAATCTGCAACTGAAATCCCACATCTTTCAACTTTTTAAGTTAATCATCATTACACGGACTTCCCTTTGACCACAAAGTGGCCCTTCCAGCCCCCAACAGGTTCCCACTAACCTCCATTGCCCAACGATCCTGCTGTTCAACCTTTGACTACAAAGTGGTCCTCCCTGTCGCCCTCAAGGTAGTCTCATGACCCCCTCCACCCTGAACCTCCTGACCCCAAAGTGAACCTCCCACCATTCCCTAACCTCTGACCTTCATAATTGATTTCATTGAGCTGCTTCGTGACCCAGTCTGCATTACTGCTGTCTGCTTCAGACACTTTGACCCAAATTTTGGGGTATGTGGCATATGTCACTAGACCATATCTTGGCTTCACACCATAACTTGCCACCTGTGGGTGAGGAGAACAAGGCGCCATGGCATTGAAAATAGAATACTGTGATTGGGAGATTTCAGCGACTTTGCTGGGACAGGGAGGCTCTCAGTAAGAGGCTCAAGGGCTGAGGTTCATGGAGGAATTACCAGTCAAGAAACTGCTTCAAGTAAAAGGGAAGGAGGACAGAATAGGACCTGGAGATTTTCCTGGGGCCCTGTTGTTCAGAGGGGCTGGAATGATCAGGGAGCTAGTCCTGGAAGATCAGCGAGATTCCATTCCCCCGAGTTCAGGGATAGGAGGATTCCACCTTCTCAATTAAGTTGACTAGACACTTTTTGGCTCCTGTGAAGTTGCTGGCCCCAATGCTGTCTGATCCATCTAGCACCAGGTAGATGTTCATGGAGCCTGAAGGGTCCAGGACGATCTTCCGCTTCTGTTGTTCCCCTGGGTGCCAGGAGAGTGGCTCAGGCTCCAGCATTAACAGTTCTGTCCCTTCTCCATTTTCCCCCAGTTCCCTGCCCTGCCTCCCTTCTCTGTCTTCAAACCTGGGCCGTGCCCATCCTCAGCATCGACTCCTTCTATGGTCTCTGTCAGGGAAGACAGGAAAGCTTCGGCCACCTCTTGAGGGGTGTCGTACATGAAGGAGTCTGGGAGAGTCAGAAATGAGGTCAAATGTCTGGGAGTGTCAGGGATACAGTGACCAAAGAGACGGGGGATCATGGGTTTCCAGGGTATAAAAGGCTCAGAAGTGAGATAGTTGTACAGGGAGGTTTAAACAAAGTGAGGAAAGAGCAGGGTTGAGGTGGGGAGAGAAGACAGTAGGATGGAAGACCAGGATCTGACCTGGGGGTACAGGTCAAAGGTCACCTTGGCAGGAAGGCTCCGTCCCGCTCCAAGAGCCACCTTCCTGACACGTTCGCCGCTGGGAGCCACGCAGGGTAAGCCCCCGGCTGCAGTGGTAGGTGACGCTGTCTTCAAGGCGGTACTGGCTGCCCACCTTCCTTGTGCCAATGGGGATGCCCGGGTTGGAGCAGTACCCCGCTGCAGAGGTATGAGACATCGAGGTAAGCACTGAAGCCTGAGGCCCCGTGAGCAAGGTAGAGAGCAAGAGTTACAGTGTCCGGAGCCGAGTGCCCACTCCTCGGGCTGGGCGCCGTCAGGGAGACAGCAATGTAGGGGGAGGGGATGCTTCTCACCTCCGTTGTCACAGATCGCTGTCTGCCCACTCCACCGGCCATTCACTTGGCAGGTGCGATTGGCAGAGCCCCGGAGAGTGTAACCGTCATAGCAGTGGAAAGAGATCTCATCACTCACATTGTAGTAGGGAGACCGGGGCCAGTATTCCCCGTTCTCGAAGTCGTGTGGTCTTGGACAGTGGATTGCTTTGAGAAGGGGGGACAAGTAGAAGTCATCAAGAGGGAAAGGCTGCCTTAGGTGTATCCCTCCTGGTCTCGGAGACCATGTCACTGAGAAACAGCGCATTCCCAGTCCCGCAGAAGCAGCATCTTACCTACTCCTCAACCCATATGGATTTCCACTGCTTCTCCCTCCCCATTTCTGAGTGTTCTCTTGACTTCCAGGGCTGCCTGGAAGCCCAGGGTAAATGCTTAGTAAGGGTTAACTCCGCTTTTTCTTGCCCCCTTTCCGCCTGCCACCCTAAAACTGCTCCTACTCCCGGTCAGCCCACCTTGTCACCCTGCCTAGTCTCATCCTAGTCCTGACCTTGCTGCCGCCTGCCCTGTTTCTGCCTTAGGCCACTGCCCACACTCATTGCCCTCAAACCTCTGCACTCTGCCTTCCTGACAGTCTTTTGGTCTTGAGTCTTCAGGGTGCTCCAGGACCCCGTAGATCTGCAGGTACGTGTCTGCACAGGGTACGGGTAGAAGCCAGAAGGACACACGTACTCCAGTGCCTGGCCCTCTTGGAGAAGTCGGAAGGAGCCGCCTTTGATCTCTACCCCCTCCAGAGAGCAGGATCCCTGGGGCCGGGCCAAAGACCATGGAGTGGTGGTCACACCTGAAGAGAAAGGCTGATGAAGCCTGGCCCCAAAAGGCCAAGGAGGGATGCTGGAGACAGCAGGAAGGGAAGGTTACCCTCGCTTACCTCCAGACAAGAGGCCCAAGATAAAGGGCATCAGGCAGAGTTGGGGGCTGAGATTGCTCCCCATGGCGTTGGAAGGCAGGAGAGAAGCTGGGCCTGGGGCAGGATGGTGTGTCCTGGCTTGCTTTGCTTGTCTGCTTGGCTCAGTGTCCAAGCTGAAACTCCAGACCTAGACCTGGTCACATTCCCTTCCCCTGCTCCCCACCAGCCCCCAGCCTTTTATACAATCTGTGTTCTGGCACCTGCGGCTCGCCCCGCCTGTCCTACCCACATCACTTTCCCGGAACATCCAAGCGGGAGGGCCCCGCTGAGCTGCCAGTCAAGGAAACAGAAACTGCAGAAGTCCCACCCTTTGCTGCCAAAGGTCCAGGACTCTCCCCTTCAGTACCTCCTCTCCGGCCTTAGCTCCTCCCCAGTAAGCCCAAACCACCCACTTAGGGACCAGAAATAAGGATCCAGCTCACTCCCCTGTTGATTGTGTGTTATGGTGCAGAGTCCAGCCACTGTTTGTCCAGTGGGGTCTCTGACCTGCCTTCCTGTAGCTCTTGGAGTCATTCTGGCCTCCCCCTCCCCCAAGGCCAGCCCTACCTGGCCTCCAGATAGAGGCACTGAGAGATGTGGAAACCATTGATTTTTATTAATTTCATAACTGGGAAATTCCATGTGAAAGTGAAACAAGCATGAGTCAAGTCAACCAGGGAAGGAATCTGGGGACAGGCCAAGGAGCGGGAGGTGGGGCAGCGAGGCAGTCCTGCTGGTAGGAGCCCTGAGGATTTCCCAGCTTGTGTGCGCTGCCTCTGGCATCCTAGAGACCCGGATTTACTCAGCTAGGAGAGAGGATGGATCACAGGGTCTAAGGGTGGCCATTCAGAGGTAGAAGATGGAGGGGCGGCAGATTCTGGCAGGGCAGCAGAGGGCTCAGTGGCCATGGCTAGAGGGGTAAAAAATTCAGGACATCCCCCAGGTGCTGCCTCAGCCAGGGCTGCATGCGGAAGAGATTGATGTGAAAGTCTCGTGGCGGCGGGACCTTGCTACGAGGGGCCCTTTTGCGGGAGTTTTTGTCAGCAGAGCCAAGGCAGGGGTTGTAAAGACCCCAGCTCACCAGACCCACCTGGAGAAAAGGAGAGAACTGGCTGGGAGGCTGCCACAGCCCCAACTGTAAGCCCCAACCTCCCTAGATCCCTCAAAGGCCTCCCTCATCCCCCCAACAAGGCTGAGATCCTGTAACCCCTGGGTCCTGCAAGCTTCTACCTTCTCACCTGAAAAAACCTGAATCTCCGCTCAAGGAAAACTGCTCCCCCAGATTCTCCTGCCAGCAAAGGGTGACAGGAGACAGTGTCATCTAGGGCAGTGGACTGGTGTTCTGGCATGCATGCTGGCCACAGAGACACAGGTGGCCTTCCCCTTGGGAATCCAGGCATGGTGAGGGACTCACCCTTGCAGGGACTCTCATCCTCCTGGGTCCCACTGCATAGGAACTGGTCTGTCACCACCTCCCTGACATCTGTCAAGTTGGGGAACATGGTTTTTTCTTGGGAGACAACCTCGGCACAGCTTGTCCACTGCAGCAGGGGTGGAACCAGAGAGAAGGGTAGAATAAGCAGACCCGGGTGGGTGCAGTGGCTCACGCCTGTAATCTCAGCACTTTGGGAGGTTGAGGCAGGCAGATCACTTGAGGTCAGGAGTTCAAGACCATCCTGGCCAACATGGCGAAATCCCGTCTCTACTAAAAATACAAAAATTAGCTGGTGTGGTGGTGGGCACCTGTAATCTCAGCTACTCGGGAGGCTGAAGTAGGAGAATCGCTTGAACCCAGGAGGCAGAAGTTGCAGTGAGCTGAGGTCGTGCCACTGCACTCCAGCCTGGGAGACAGAGCAAGACTCCATCTCAATAACAACAAAAAAAGAATAAGCAGACCCAGGGACACCTAGCAGGTTTGTGAGGCTTGGGAGGAGGGGTGACCCGCGTCAGAGAGAGAAAGCAGCCAGACCTGGAGAAGGAAGAGAGACATTCTGGGAGCTGTCACAGGGGGATCCCAGCATCCCCAACCTGAGACCCTCACCTCCACTCCCATCTTAAGGTTAATGTTCAGTTTGCTCCCATTCAAGGCGACAAAATGAGCAGGAACACTCTGTTTGTTCAGCAGTTCATTCTCTATAGTCAAGAGAAGGGGATGTTGGTGCTGGTCCTTTTACCCAGAATCCAGGTTCCTGGCTTGGGGACTGCAGCCTAGTCCTTGTTATCACCCCCAAACCCCGGCCCCAGCTCTCAAGCACCATAAGTCCCAGCACTCACCATGGTCCCTACAGGTGCTGCCTTGAGGTCTCCGCAGAGCCAGATTGGCCTCCATCGTGCAGGGAAGGCAGATGGGCCTGGGGAGAAGAGCAAGGGTCACACCAGCCTGTCCCCAGTATCTCTTCCAGGGATCTCCAGAGCACTCTTCCCTGCAGGGCACCCTCCCATCCCAGACTCCAGGCACCTGGCATGGGTGGACATCTTTACTTTCTGGGCCAGCTTCAGCAGAGCTATGTCATCACCATAGAACTCCAGGATTCCCTGGTTCTTTTTGGCAAAGACATCAAACCCTGGGGAGATCACCGCCTTCTCAATAAGGAATTCTTTGCCCCACTGGGATTTGGGGTCTCCTGGAAATGATACACTAGATTAGGCTAGACCAGGGCTCCTGCAGGGGCCAGAGGCTGGGTGAGGTGGTAGGATCTGTGGCTTCAGGATCAGGAGGCTGGTGCATCCCCTGCCTTACCCACATTGACCCTCCACAGGGAGTGGTCGTTGCCATCGCGGAAGCAATGAGCTGCTGTCAGGACCCATTGGTCGGAGATGAGGGCCCCCCGGCAGGTCTCTTGGCTCTTGGGCTGCAGGGGAACAGGTGATTTTCAGAGATTGCAGTATGTCTGGCCCATGGCCGCTTTTACCTCTGGAATCCAAGCCCTGCCCCTCCTTCCTGGTACCTTAATAGTGACATGCCAGGGTGTCCTCTCCTGGTCAGAGGCGTTTGCTGACATGTTCCCCACCCCGCAGATGGTGTCTGTGAGCTTGGAGACATCTGTGGGTGTGAGGATCAGATGGGGAAGGAGGCAAGTGAGGGGCACTGTGTCCAGGTTCCCAACACGGGCCTCTGGCGGGCTCCTCACCATCCTCCCCACACCAAGGAGGGCAAAGCTCACTCACCCAGCATATGTTCAAAGACCTGGTGCAGAGCCTTTGTGTCCTGCAGAATGAAGGCATGCCTCTCACCATCCTTCTTGGACCCTAGCTCATTCAGTTCTCTCCAGTCCACATCCAGCTTGCCCACCCCGATGGCATAGATGTCTGGTGGGGAAGAGGGAAATCACCAGACTCCTGTGGCTTTGGGGCTACCCCATGAGACAGGAGGCTGTCATCTGAAACTCACTGTGTCCAATCAAGACCTACATGAGCTGGACCCCTGCGTCCTCCCCACTGCTACCTGTCTGCCTTCATTTCCTGCCACTCCCTGCCCTTCACTCTCCTGCAGCACACAGCCTCTTTGAAGTTCCTCAAATCCATAGGCATGGTCACACCTCAGGCCCTTTGCCCAGCTGTGCCTCTGCCTAGTTCACTCCTCCCCCCCAGACTTCCACATGGCTCACTTTCGTACCTTTTTAAGTCTTGGCTCAAATGTCACCTTCTCAGTGAGGCCTTCCCTGGTCTTCCTGTCTAAAACTGCAATGCCCCAGACAAACTTTCATCCCCACTTTGGGAGGCAAGGTGGGAGGATCCCTTGAAGCCAGAAGTTTGAGACCAGCCTGGGCAACATGGCAACACCCCTTAGCTTGTGTCACCTACCACCTGCTGGGTTCTATGGTTTTCTTATCCTGTTTATTCCCTGTAATGGTGGAATTGTGTCCCCCAGAAAGATGTGTTCGAGTCCTAATCCCCAGTATCTGTGACTTTATTTGGAAAAAGGGTCTTTGCAGATGTAATCAAGTTAAGATTAAGTCATACTAGATTAGGGTGAGCTCTAATCCAATGACTGAGGTCCTTATAAGAAGAGGTAAGCCAGAGCCAGGCGTGGTGGCTCACACCTGTAATCACCAGGAGGCGGTGGTTGTGGTGAGCCAAGATCGCGCCATTGCACTCCAGCCTGGGCAACAAGAGCAAAACCCCGTCTCAAAAAAAAAAAAAGAAGAGGTGAGCCGGGCACGGTGGCTCACACCTGTAATCCCAGCACTCTGGGAGGCTGAGGCGGGCAGATCACGAGGTCAGGAATTCAAGACCAGCCTGACCAACATGGTGAAACCCTGTCTCTACTAAAAATACAAAAATTAGCCAGACATGCTGGCACACACCTGTAATCCCAGCTACTCAGGAGGCTGAGGCAGGAGAATCGCTTGAACCGGGAGGCGGATGTTGCAGTGAGCCGAGATTGCACCACTGCACTCCAGCCTGGGCAACAGAGCAAGACTCCATCTCAAAAAAAAAAAAAAAAAAAAAAAGTGAACTGGCTGGGCATGGTGGTGACTCATGCCTGTAATCCCGGCAGTTTTTTTGAGGCGAAGGCAGGCAGATCGCCTTGAGGCCAGGAGTTTAAGACCAGCCTAGCCAACATGGCGAGACCATGTCTCTACTAAAAATACAAAAATTTGCCGGGCATGGTGGCACATGCCTGTAATCCCAGCTTCTTGGGAGACTGAGGCACGAGAATCACCTGAACCCAGGAGGCAGAGGTTACAGTGAGCCGGGATCCCGCCACTGCACTGCAGCCTGGGCTTCTGGGTGACAGAGCGAGACTCTGTCTCAAACAAATGAACAGAAAAAGAAGAAAGGAATTTGGACACAAAGACACAGGTAGTGGGTCTCCTATCTATATAAGAGAACAGCATGTAATGACACAGAGGCACACACAGAAAAGAAGGCGAGTTGAAGACAGAGGCAGAGAATGGGTTTATGCTGCCGCAAGCCAAGGTTGGAGCTGCCGGCAGCCGGAAAAGGCAGGAAAGAATTCTTCCCAAGAGCCTTCTGAGGAAGCACGGCCCTGCCAACACCTTGATTTCAGACTTCTAACCTCCAGAACTGTAAGAAAAAGAAATTCTGTGTTCTAAGCCACCCAGGTTTGTGGTAGTTTGGTAAGTACTTTTAAATGACTGAATGAATAGAAAGAACTCAGAACACAACATGGAAACTAAACCTCAGATCTGGTCTTCCTCTGTAAAAGGTAGCATCTGGGAGAAGGGCCTAAAGCCACGTTTTCCCACTGGAGGCCCTGGACCCACACAACAGGCCGCGCCTGTCCTCCGACTGTGGTGCCAGTCAGAACTGCCCTCAGACAGACCACAGAGTCTACTCCTCTCCCAGCCTTTGCACCCCTTGTGGCCCATTTTTGTTCTCAGAGAGCCCCGCGTTGTGTGTAAAAAGCAAGGTGCTTAGGTGGACCAAGAGATCTTCAGCCAGGAGGCAATCTGGCAATGGCCCAGATAGAAACAGTTACAGTTGGAGCTAGACAACGATCGTGCCTTGTGCGTTTTCTTTGACTATTTTCGTTTGGTTTCCTGCTTATTTTCAATAAAATGTTTTTGTAGCATTTGACCTTGGTCCAGTGATGCTAAGGAGGAAGGGAGTGGGCTTTAAATTTTGTCTTCCTTGGGCCAGAGTTTTAAAGAGGAATCAGCTTACCCCCGAGGGCCAGGTGATGGGGGAGGGGGCAGTGTGAATGGAAAGGAGAGGAGCTAAGGGGAAGATGAAAGGTTGGGGCTCAAAACCAGCTGCCCTCCCTGTCTGAGCATCTCTCTCTCTGAAATTACTTTCTGATCAAAGGTCAGTGCAATTTGTGTTTAGTCTGAACCTGAGGAATTTTTCCTTTAGAGGCTGCAACTGCCAAAGCCTTAGTTAGCCAGCTGTGCTGCTGAAAGAGCAACCACCAGGGACATTCCCCAGAGGGAATCGAGGTCCCTTCTTCCTGGAAAGTTTCCTGAAACATGAGATGCTATGATGATGATGATGATGATAACGACGACGGTCGTGGTCATGGCTAACATATGCTGGGCATTTTTCTATGCCAGGCAGGCAGTGTTTGTCTGAGCATCTTCCCCTGTCAGCTTGTGAGCTGGGTCCTAGTACTACTCCCCTTTTGCAGATGAAGAAACTGCCCATGGCCACAGCCCACTGAAGATGAAACCAAGGTTCTCTGTCTAAAGCTGTTGATTAAAAATAATAATTAAAAAATTAAAAATTGGCCAGGCACAGTGGCTCATGCCTATCTGTAATCCCAGCACCTTGGGAGACCAAGGCAGGCGGATCACTTGAGGCCAGGGGTTTGACACCAGACTGCCAACATGGTGAAACTCTGTCTCTATTAAAAATGCAAAAATGAGCCGGGCATGGTGGCACACACCTGTAATCCCAGCTACTCTGGAGGCTGAGGCAGGAGAATCATTTGAAGCCAGGACGTGGAGGTTGCAGTGAGTTGAGATCGAGTCACTGCACTCCAGCCTGGGCAACACGGCAAGATTCTGTCTCAAAAAAAATTTAAAAATTAATTTTAAAAAATTTGTGAAGACGGGCTGAGCATAGTGGCTCATACCTGTAATCCTACCACTTTGGGAAGCTGAGTTGAGGGGATCACTTGAAACCAGGAATTTGAGGCTGCAGTAAGCTATGATTGCACCACTGCACTTCATGGTGGCATGGTGGACATCGTTACTTTCTGGACCAGCTTCTGGGCCGGCATGGGTGGACATCTTTCCAGGAATATACTCTGAGTGTCAGTGAGACACTGTCTTAAAAAAAAAAAAAAAAAAAAAGAAGGTAAGGTTGAGACCATGGGCAGTAGTTTGACCCCAGGCTCTTCAACATGAGTTGCCTTTGTACAGAACAACGCAGAAATAAAACCATGTGGCTCTGGACCATAGCTAAGATGCTGGGATCCCTGGCTGAAGATCTCATGACCTCTGCAGGAGCAGAACAAATGTGGTGGCAGTGGCAGGGGCTCACCCAGATAGTCATTCCTCTTCTGGTTGATGTTCAGGATCTCTCTGATATGGTCAACAGCTGTCTTGGGAGAGCCACCCATATTGGACTTTCCTAGAACAAAGAGAATAAAGAATTCTTCTAGGTAATATCAGGATTTCCCCAGGCCCTGGAAGAGTAGGAAAGCATTTAGCCTGGGAACCTCAACATTTACATTGCCTGTGAGAGCTTCAAAATATACTTTTAGGCTGGGCATGGTGGCTCACACCTGTAATCCTAGCACTTTGGGAGACCGAAGAAGGCGGATTGCCTGAGCTCAGGAGTTCCAGACCAGCCTGGGCAACATGGTGAAACCCTGTCTCTACTAAAACCACAAAAAATTAGCCAGGTGTGGCCGGGCATGGTGGCTCATGCCTGTAATCCCAGCACTTTGGGAGGCCAAGGCAGGTGGATCACCTGAGGTTGGGAGTTTGAGACCAGCTTGACCAACATGGAGAAACCGCACCTCTACTAAATATACAAAATTAGCCGGGTGTGGTGGCACATGCCTGTAATCCCAGCTACTCAGGAGGCAGGAGAATCGCTTGAACCTGGGAGGCGGAGGTTGCGGTGAGCCGAAATCGCGCCATTGCACTCCAGCCTGGGCAACAAGAGTGAAACTCCATCTCAAAAAATAAAAATAAAAATTAGCCAGGCATGGTGACACATGCCTGTAGTCCCAGCTACTCTGGAGGCTGAGGCACGAGAATTGCTTCAGCCTGGGAGGCAGAGGTTGCAGTGAGCCGAGATCGCACCACTGTAGTCCAGCCTGGGCAATAGAGTGAGACCCTGTCTCAAAAAAATAAATATATATATATATATATGTATGTATACATATATATATATATACATACATATATATATATACACACTTTTACTGAAATGTTCTACATTCCAGGCACCAGGCCAGGTGCTTCCTATACTTTAACTCATTTAATTCTCATGAAACCCCAGGTAGAGTGGGTATCCTCATTTTATATACTAAGTCCTGGAGGAACTGTGTAATTTGGACAATAGCAAGAGGCAAATGACAAGGCCAGATCCACTACAGACTGTTCCTTGCATCCGTGCCCTTCGACATTCCTGCTCAAGAGCCACGTTTCCTCATCTATCTCCAAGTTACCTCCCAGATGGTAACAAGAGCTAACACAGAGCACTTTCACACAGGCAACTTAAATAGCTTTCCATAAAAATTGTGTAAGGAAAGGAGGACAGCCATCATGATCATCATTGCTGTCATTGTGGTTACGGTCATCATCATCAACACTAATTCTATTTATTTATTTATTTTATTTTGAGACAAGGTAGGATCTTGGTCTGTCACCCAGGCTGGAGTGCAGTGGCATGATCTTGGCTCACTGCAACCTCTGCCTCCCAGGTTCAAGCAATTCTCCTGCCTCAGCCTCCCAAGTAGCTGGGATTACAGGCGCCTGCCACCACACCCAGCTAATGGTTTTGTATTTTTAGTAGAGACGGGGTTTCACCATGTTAGCCAGTCTGATCTCAAACTCCTAACCTCAAGTGATCCACCCGCTTTGGCCTCCCAAAGTGCTGGGACTACAGGCATAAGCCACCACACTGGCCCTATTTTATAAATAAGAAACTGGGCCAGGTGTGGTGGCTCATGCCTGTAATCCCAGCACTTTGGGAGGCTGAGGCAGGAGGATTGCTTGAAGCCAGGAGTTTGAGATCAGCTGGGCAACATAGCAAGGCCCCATCTCTAAAAACAAAAACAAAACTGGGGCCCAAAGTGGCAGGCAGAGGGAGAATCAGAATTCAGGGCTTCTGACCCCATATTGGTGCCCCTTCCACTATTCCAGACACACTCAGAGACCATGATACCCACCATCTGTCAGAAGGATGATGGCATGTCGGATTTCCTGCCAGGCCATCGTTTCCATGCCGAGGAGTCGCATTTGGTTGTTCATCATGAGATAGACACTGTTTAAGGCCGCATAGGTGTTAGTCCCAGTTCCATTTTCATGATCTGGAATATGCCAAAAGGAAGGACTCTCTTAGAAACTTCCCACCTACCACCTAGGGGTAGGGAATCACTCTATTCCCCCAATTATTGGAAATGCAATTTTTTTTTTTTTTTGAGAGAGTCTCGCTCTGCCACCCAGGCTAGAGTATAGTGGCGTGATCTTGGCTGACTGCAACCTCCACCTCCCCAGTTCAAGTGATTCTCATGCCTCAGTCTCCCAAGTAGCTGGGATTACAGGTGCCAGCCACCATGCCCAGCTAATTTTTTGTATTTTTAGTAGAGATGGGGTTTCACCATGTTGGCCAAGCTGGTTTCCTGACCTCAAGTGATCCGCCCATCTCAGCCTCCCAAAGTGCTGGGATTACTACAGGCATGAGCCACTGCACCCGGCCTGGAAATGCAATTTATCGATTGTTTTGATAAACTCAGACATTTGCCATTCAGATAGAGATGTGGCATCATTGCTTGTTCAAACTTTAAAAGCCTTTCCACCTTAGAAATGTTCATTGCATAGGGCCGGGCAAGGTGGTTCACGCCTGTAATCCCAGCACTTTGGGAGGCTGAGGTGGGCGGATCACAAAGTCAGGATCACGAGACCAGCCTGACCAACATAGTGAAACCCCATCTCAACTAAAAATATAAAAAATTAGCCAGGCATGGTGGCAGGTGCCCGAAATCTCAGCTACTCGGGAAGCTGAGGCAGGAGAATTGCCTGAACCCTGGAGGCAGAGGTTGCAGTGAGCCAAGATCGTGCCACTGCACTCAAGCCTGGGTGACAGTGCGAGACTCCACCTCAAAAAAAAAAAAAAGAAGAAGAAAAAAGAAATGTTCATTGCATAACCCCAATCCAAGACCACACTAAAGTCCCAAGATTCAAAGATGAGGTTTCCAAAACCTTGAGTGGCTTCAGCCATTTGCTAAGTGCCAACCAGGCACTTTACATGGTGTATGGGTGGCTAATGACATGGGGAGATGGCAGTGTGCAGCCATGCAAACCAGACAGTGTGGTTTTGGCAACTGGAAGGAATTGAAGACCTGCACAGTGTCTTTGGACCTGCAGCATCTCAGAATGAGCTATGAGCTGGGGGCAGCTGGACTCCCCCACCATAACCCTGGACGTTGAAACTACCCCAGACTCGTGGGACTCAGGTGCCACCAAGAGGCCTCACTCTCTTTTTAACTCATCCAGAATTTGTTTGCAGGCCCTGAGAGGGTCCATCTTCTCCTCTCTCATCACCATCACGTGATGACACCCGTACCTTTATAGTTGGCATTTTCCAGGCTGCTGATCACCTCAGTCATATCCCGGGAGTTGTCGTTCAGGACAGACATGAGGACTTTGGGCTCTGAGGCAAAGGTGATAATGGCAACGCTCACATTGATCTCAAAGCTGAAGATCTGTGCGGGGCAAGTGAGAGGCAGCGTAAAGGGCCCTGAAGCCAAAGGGGAGATGGTAAGAGAGCAAACAAAGGGCCCTGGAGGAGGCAGAGAAACTGGAGTGAGACCGACAGAGGCAAGGACCAGGGGAGACACTAGGAAATGGCTGTTAGGAAGAAGCTAGGGGCTGGGCGCGGTGGCTCATGCCTGAATCCCAACACTTTAGGCAGGTGGATCACCTGAGGTCAGGAGTTCGAGACCAGCCTGACCAACATGGCAAAACCCATCTCTACTAAAAATACAAAAATTAGCCTGGTATGGTGGCAAGCACCTATAATCCCAGCTACTCAGGAGGCTGAGGCAGAAGAATCACTTGAACCCAGGAGGCAAAGTTTGCAGTGAGCTGAGATCGCACCACTGTACTCCAGCCTGGGTGACAGAGACTCTATCTCAAAAATAATAATAATAATAATAATAATAAAAATAAGGAACAGCAGCAGCTAAGGAAGAAACCTTTGTTGAACATCTTTCTCTTTGACAGACTCTCTTCACTCCACCCTGTGAGGGGCATGATGACCCCTATTTTATGGATAAGGAAACTGAGGTATGTTGCCTTGTCCCCCTTCCCCCATCACACCATGAGGAGGAGGTGGAAGTGGGATCTGAATGTGTCACATGATTCTCAATCACTGCTCCAACTGGTGTGTGTTGCCGCCTCGCAGTGCAATGAGTTACTTAATTTTGAGTCCCAAGAGAGCACAGAAACTGCCCTCTTTAAAATGTAGCTGGGAGGGAAAACCATCTATAATGTTACATGAAGTATTGTGAAAAGCACAATTACAAAACAAAGTTCTGGCGAGGAACTTAAACCAGTGGCTTCCAAACTTCTATCACACATATTTTATTTTATTTTATTTTATTTTATTTATTTTTTTGAGACAGAGTTTTGCTCTAGTTGCCCAGGCTGGAGTGCAATGGCGTGATCTCAGCCCACTGCAACCTCCACCTCCCGGATCCAAGCGATTCTCCTGCCTCATCCTCCCAAGTAGCTGGGTTACAGGCGTGCGCCATCACATGTGGCTAATTTTGTATTTTTAGTATAGACAGGGTTTCATCATGTTGGTCAGGCTGGTCTCAAACTCCTGACCTCAAGTGATCCACCTGCCTCGGCCTCCCAAAGTGTTGGGATTACAGGCACTAGCCACCATGCCCAGTCTATCACACACATTTTAAAGCCTGCACAAAATGTTGAAGTTTTAAAAGGAAATTATTAAATATTAAATTATTAATCTGATTTAAATTATTCCACAGGGGCACCAGTATTTTTCTGCTTCACTCCTGTGGGTTATCTCACTACCTTTCTGTGGAGACCACTGTTCTAGATGATGAATTCCTGGAAAGTAAGACCTCAGCCTTTCCATCTTTGCTGTCGCCCAGCCCCAGCACAGTGTCCCAACAGTGCTTGTGGAATAAAAATTATGATTGTATAAATTGAATTCATGATTCCTACATGGCATGAGTATAATCTGAGAAGACTTCTTGGAGGAGGTGGGCTGTGAGTGGGGTTCTGAGGAGGGGAAGGAGACAGAGAGAGATAGTGAGCACAGGAAGGCCTCTGCTGCAGGCAGACTCCTGATTCCTGACCCTGTCCACCATGAGGGAGGCGCTCTCCTTGAAGATGAGAAAGTCATTTTCCGACACACTCTGCGAACAGTCCAGGAGCAGGTAGAGGTTCAGATGACCAGAGCGCTGGATTTGGATTTTACGGCCCAGGCTTTCTGGAGAAATGTGGAAGGGGAGGATTCAGATCCCCACCTCCTTCCTGCGCTCTCGCCAAGCAGGTCCAGCTTCTCTGCCTCCCTCCCTTTCAGTGGCTGAGCCCACCAAGGCTCCTGGCCTCCAGGAAGGTTGCATCCTCCCTTGCTCCGGCCCAGATCCAGCACCCTGCTCAACCAGAAACCCCACCTCAAACACTCACCCTTTGTCTTCTGGGTGGGATTGGTGGCCCCAAGCATGTGGGAGAAGGAAGTGCCCAGGGCAGGGGCCACGTCCTCAGGGAAGTCATAAGAGTAGGGTTCTGTGGGGAGAGCCACACAGGAGTCAGCCGGGGCAGTGGCCGGGTGTGCCGAGGAATCTCAGGAGGGCAGGGCAGCTACTCACGGCGGCAGATGGGCTCCGTTCCACTCCAGACCCCGTTGCCCTGGCACTCCCGCTCCGAAGACCCCGTGAGCACAAGATTCGAGGAGCAGCGATAGCGGACCTTGTCCCCATGACCAAAGCGGAAGCCTGTCCGCACTGCGCCCAGTGAAATGCCTGGGTTGGGGCAGTGGCCAGCTGCGAGTGAACAAAGGAAGGCAGAGGTGAGTAGCCCCCTCCCATCAGGCTCTGCCTCCTCAGCGGCCTCAGTTGCCAGCAGAAGCTTCCCAGTTCCAACCCAGGGATGCACCCATGTCTGTCCCAGAGCCCCCAGAGACCCAGGGAAGAAGTCAGCTGATGGTCCCTCCACTCCTTCAGAGAACATTTATATTTCATAAACCACAGTGAGGCATCCCTACACACCCATCAAAACGGCTAACACTGAAACAACAGGTAATTCCAAGTGTTGGAGAGGATGCAGAGCGACTGGCACTCTGTTACCTTGCTGGCATGTACGTGGGTGAAACTTTCTCAGCCTCTACTACAACTAAACATATGCCAGCCTGTGATGTGACAATTCCACATTTAGATCATTTACTCAAGAGAAGCAAGTGCATACATGTACCAAAATCACATGCAAGAATGTTCCTAGAGCTCCCTCTCCCTCACCCTCTCCCCATGGTCTCCCTCTCCCTCTCTTTCCACGGTCTCCCTCTGATGCCGAGCCGAAGCTGGACGGTACTGCTGCCATCTCGGCTCACTGCAACCTCCCTGCCTGATTCTCCTGCCTCAGCTTGCCGAGTGCCTGCGATTGCAGGCGCGCGCCGCCACGCCTGACTGGTTTTCGTATTTTGTTAGTGGAGACGGGGTTTCGCTGTGTTGGCCGGGCTGGTCTCCAGCTCCTAACCGCGAGTGATCCACCAGCCTCGGCCTCCCGAGGTGCTGGGATTGCAGACGGAGTCTCGTTCACTCAGTGCTCAATGATGCCCAGGCTGGAGTGCAGTGGCGTGATCTTGGCTCGCTACAACCTCCACCTCCCAGCAGCCTGCCTTGGCCTCCCAAAGTGCCGAGATTGCAGCCTCTGCCCGGCCGCCACCCCGTCTGGGAAGTGAGGAGCGTCTCCGCCTGGCCACCCATCGTCTGGGATGTGAGGAGCCCCTCTGCCTGGCTGCCCAGTCTGGAAAGTGAGGAGCGTCTCTGCCCGGCCGCCATTCCATCTAGGAAGTGAGGAGCGCCTCTTCCCGGCCGCCATCACATCTGGGAAGTGAGGAGCGTCTCTGCCCTGCCGCCCATCGTCTGAGATGTGGGGAGCACCTCTGCCCGGCCGCCCCATCCGGGATGTGAGGAGCGTCTCTGCCCGGCCGCCCCGTCTGAGAAGTGAGGAGACCCTCTGCCTGGCAACCGCTCCATCTGAGAAGTGAGGAGCCCCTCCGCCCGGCAGCCGCCCTGTCTGAGAAGTGAGGAGCCCCTCCGCCCAGCAGCCACCTGGTCCGGGAGGGAGGTGGGGGGGTCAGCCCCCCGCCCGGCCAGCCGCCCCGTCCGGGAGGGAGGTGGGGGGGTCAGCCCCCAGCCCGGCCAGCCGCCCCGTCCGGGAAGTGAGGGGCGCCTCTGCCCGGCCGCCCCTACTGGGAAGTGAGGAGCCACTCTGCCCGGCCAGCCGCCCCGTCCGGGAGGGAGGTGGGGGGGTCAGCCCCTCGCCCGGCCAGCCGCCCCATCCGGGAAGTGAGGGGCGCCTCTGCCCGGCCGCCCCTGCTGGGAAGTGAGGAGCCCCTCTGCCCGGCCAGCCACTCTGTCCGGGAGGGAGGTGGGGGGGTCAGCCCCCCGCCCGGCCAGCCGCCCCGTCCGGGAGGGAGGTGGGGGGGTCAGCCCCCCGCCCGGCCAGCCGCCCTGTCCGGGAGGTGAGGGGCGCCTCTGCCCGGCCGCGCCTACTGGAAAGTGAGGAGCCCCTCTGCCCGGCCACCACCCCGTCTGGGAGGTGTACCCAACAGCTCATTGAGAAGGGGCCATGATGACAATGACGGTTTTGTGGAATAGAAAGGGGGGAAAGGTGGGGAAAAGATTGAGAAATCGGATGGTTGCCGTGTCTGTGTAGAAAGAGGTAGACCTGGGAGACTTTTCATTTTGTTCTGTACTAAGAAAAATTCTTCTGCCTTGGGATCCTGTTGATCGGTGACCTTACCCCCAACCCTGTGCTCTCTGAAACATGTGCTGTATCCACTCAGGGTTGAATGGATTAAGAGCGGTGCAAGATGTGCTTTGTTAAACAGATGCTTGAAGGCAGCATGCTCCTTAAGAGTCATCACCACTCCCTAATCTCAAGTACCCAGGGACACAAACACTGCGGAAGGCCGCAGGGTCCTCTGCCTAGGAAAACCAGAGACCTTTGTTCACTTGTTTATCTGCTGACCTTCCCTCCACTATTGTCCTGTGACCCTGCCAAATCCCCCTCTGTGAGAAACACCCAAGAATGATCAATTAAAAAAAAAAAAAAAAAAGAATGTTCCTAGAGCTTTACTCCTAATGGCCCCAAACTGGAAATAATCCAAATGTCCATCAGGAGGGGAATGGATAAATTGTAATATACCCATATAATGGAATACTACACAGCAATAAAAAAGAACAAAGTACTGATACACACAACAGCATGGATAAATCTCACAGGCAGAATATAGAACAAAGGATGCCAGAAGCAACAGACCACATCCCGCATGATTCCATTTACAGGAAATGTAAGCACAAGGTACCTAGTCCATGGAGACAGAGGTCAGAAGAGCAGTTACCTTGTGGGAGGGGACAAGAGGGAACCTCATTCTGTCTTGGGTGGTGATTAGATGAGTGGATGCATTGTAACAAATCATTGAGCTGAATAGTTAAGATTTGTACATTTTACAATAGGTAAATTATGCCTCAATTTTAAAATAAGTTAGAGTCACGTCTAATAATTCAAGCATTACTTATCACAGTCTTACCAGGCATCTACTTCACCCTCCTACAGAATAAATGGCCATTTGCCAAAACCCAAGGGCATGAGTGGGGATCCATGGTCTGGGCCACTAGGTGAAGGTGGTCCTGCCATCTTGTGGACTCCGTGTCTTCTGTATGATGTGCTAAGAACCATGATCCAAGAAGCTCCCAAACCCACAGGCAAATGCAGCTCCAGGGAATCCTAGGAGCCCTACTTCTGCCAAGCAGAGCCCCTCACCATTCACAGGGGCAGCAATAACTATGACAAAAGTGCTTATGGCCAGGTGTGGTGGCACATGCCTGCATTCCCAGCTACTGAGGAGGCTGAGGTAGGAAGATCACTTGAGCTCAGGAGTTTGAAGCCAGCCTTGGCAACACAGCGAGATCCTGTCTCTTAAAGAAACAAAAACAAGGCCGGATGCCGTGGCTCACGCCTGTAATCCCAGCACTTTGGGAGGCCAAGGTGGGCAGAATCCCCTGAGGTCAGGAGTTTGAGACCAGCCTGGCCAACATGGAGAAACCCTGTCCCTACTAAGAATAGAAAATTACCGAGGCATGGTGGCGCATGCCTGTAATCCCAGCTTCTTGGGAGGCTGAGGCAGGAGAGTCACTTGAACCCGGGAGGCAGATGTTGCGGTGAGCTGAGATTGCGCCATTGCACTCCAGCCTGGGCAACAAGAGCTAGACTCCGTCTCAAAAAAAAAAAAAAGTGTACATGGCATTTATCAGATTCCAGGGGCTGTTTTTTTTGTTTTTTGTTTGTTTGTTTGTTTGTTTGTTTTGAGACAGAGTCTCACTCTGTCACCCAGGCTGGAGTGCAGTGGCACGATCTCGGCTCACTGCAACCTCTGCCTCCCAGGTTCAAGTGATTCTCCTGCCTCAGCCTCCTGAGTAGCTGGGATTAACCACGCCCAGCTAATTTTTGTATTTTTAGTATAGACGAGGTTTCACCACGTTGACCAGGCTGGTCTCAATCTCCTGACCTCAGGTGATCCACCCACCTCAGCCTCCCAAAGTGCTGGGATTACAGGCGTGAGGCACCGAGGCTGGCATTTTTTTTTTTTTTTTTTTTTTTGAGACAGAGTCTTACTCTGTCACTCAGGCTGGAGTGCAATGATGCAATCTCGGCTCACTGCAATCTCCACTTCCTGGTTCAAATGATTCTCCTGCCTCAGCCTCCTGAATAGCTGGTATTACAGGCATGCGCCACCGCACCCGGCTAATTTTTGTATTTTTACTAGAGACGGGGTTTCACCATGTTGGCCAAGCTGGTCTCAAACTCCTGACCTTGTGATCCACCCCCCTTGGCCTCCCAAAGTGCTGGGATTACAGGCGTGAGCCACCGCACTCCAGGGCTGTTGTATATGCTTACTAATGTCAACTCATTTAATCCAGATGGCAATCTCAGGTCAGCACTCACTATCCTTGTCTTACAGATGGGAAAACTGAGGGCTAGAAAGGTTAAATAGCCTTCCCAAAGTCTGTCAAAGTCAGAGTAGGGCTTGGAACCCAAACCTGGCTTTAAAGGCAAGGCATTAAAGCACAGTACTTGACTCTCTCCCAGCATATCTTCCCTACAACAATCTGTGGGGCCTGAATATGAAGTCTTGCTTTGAGGCACTTAGAAAAGCCAGGCAGAGTGTGTGGAGGCTTTATGCTACATCTGAAGCTTAGCACCAGCTGCCTGGGGCCTGGCCCTTGCAGACTTGTGATGTGTGACCTGTAGACCTCAATTTACCAAAATCCAGGAATATTATTATGGCACACTGAACAACAGACTCCTATCCCCACAGAGGCTTCCTGGATGCACATTGGGCCCCAGGGTTCCCCAGGAGACCCCAGCCCCCTGTGTAGCCCATCAGCCAGAGAACTCACCCCCATTATCACACACAGCTGTTTCTCCATCCCACATGCCGTTGGGGCGACACTGACGCACAGGCGAGCCCCGCAATATGAAGCCATCCTCACACTCGAAGCTCACATTGCCACCCACGGGATAGGACCCCAGCCGTGGGGTATAAATGCCATTCTCAAAGGAGACAGGGGCTGGACAGCGCACAGCTGGAGAGAGAGGAAGTGGGTGGGGAATATAGGACTGGATGGATAACACCTGGGCTGGGGATTAAGCAGGTGATTTTATGCTGGAATGCATGGGAATGGTCAACTGGCTGTCAAAACACTGAAATATTAGGTTGCAACATGTGAAATTGCTGTTTTTGGCAACTGATTGAATATTGCCAATTTCACAGAGTCTAAGCGAACTGATTGATAAATAGCCACTTCCCTCAGTCTCCTGAGGGCCGTGGCCTCCCCAGACACTCCCCTTGGGATCCTCAGATGTCTAGAGGACTCCAGGACCATTCAGCATCTGTTCTGAATGGTCACTACTAGGCAGTCAATTGTACATAAAAAGTCATCCCTGGCTTTAGTACCCCACAGTCTCCATCAAGACCTGTTCCCAATTCCTTGCTACTGGCAATTGACATTTTCTGGATATTTTGAAAAGCCCTCTGCAAAAGCAACTTTGCCATCTAGTCAGGTTAAGTCCCACCCTGAGCAACTCCTAAACAAAAGTTCTGGGGTGGCCCCTGGTGTAGCACCCTGAGCAAAGCCCACAGGGAGCCTCACGTTTGCAGACCGCCTTAGACAGAGACCGGGTGGCTCCTGGGGTCTGCCACTGTCCGCTGCTCTTGCACAGCCGTGATGCTGGGGATGGGTACAGGCCCTGGGGGCAGGAGTAGGTGAGAAGGCTCCCAGGAGCCCAGCCATGGCTGAGGGTGAAGGTGCCACCCGAGATATTCACGTTCTGAGGGCAGGAGGGAGCCGAGTCTGCCAGACCTAGAGCCGTGGGAACAAGGAGACAGCAATGGAGAAAGAAGGAAGACACAGATGAGAAAAGGAAAGCAAAAGAGACTGTTTCACACATGGGAATTCAAGCTGGGAGCACCAACCTCACACACAGGACCCTGACGTTCCCCCTTCCCTGCCTCCTACCTGGGTACAGGAACAGCAGGCAAAAAAGAACCATCAGTGGGCCCATGGTGTCCTCCCTAGGGGCGGCGAGAGGTAGAGAGCCGCGGGAGGGAAAAGGTCATCTGACTTCCCGAAAACTAGAGCTGGGTCAGCAGCTGCTTCATTGCTGCCAGAGAAGAAAAACCAGGGAGTGGCAAGGGGGATGGTCTTCTGTTAGGGAAATAATAAGCAGGGATTGGGGACTGAACTGAAGGGTGAAACCTTTGCCCTGTCTCCCTGATGCTAATATATCTATAGGGTCAATAGATCTCCCCCACAGGCTTTGTGTACTGCCCCCACGCTCCACCCACCCATGCGTGCACATGTGCACCATACACGCATGCTCACAAACACGCAGGCAAACACATATTTGGGCTCGTGTGTGCACACATGCACCTTGCTCTTGTGTGAATAGTCAATAGTCTAAAGCACACAAACCCACAAACCATCCAAGATATTGCAAAATATTTCATTTAAGTAAAGTTTTAGTGTTCTTTTGGGTTGTACCAAGTGGGTTTTACTTCCTGAGAGCCTAGAACAGTTCTGTCTTCTTGAAGATAAACTTCCGAGGGGGGTGAAACTAATTTTTTTAGAACTTCTTGATAAATAGGAAGATTGACAATACTTTTTTATTCCCTACAATCCTTCCCTAGAGATAATCTAGGTGGAAAAAATGAAATCAACACTTAGTTTTGGAGACAGGAAAAATGTTTACAACATTTTTACGGAAAGTCTAGTAGATGAAATTCCCAACTGGCAAAGTAAATACATTTGGGGTTGGTTACTCAAAGGAATAAAACTTTTGCGGGGGCTGGGATATGCCTTTAAATCATAACCTACACTTGTATGAAATGCAGGAAGCAAAGAAACTTGAAGCTAGTGTGTTAGTCTCCCTGACCCACAGAAGTCTTTTCAATACCTTTTTGAACAACGTAGGGTAAAAATAAATAAGACCAATAAAAAAATGAACATGAAACCTCTCTGAAGTGATCATTTAGGTTCGTAAAAACCCTTTTGATTTATAAGTGAGTCCTTAGAGAACTGATTGAACCTAGAAGATGGAGGTTGCAGTGAGCCAAGATTGTGCCACTGCACTCCAGCCTGGGCAACAGAGTAAGACTACATCTCAAAAAGAAAAAAAAAAAATAAGACCGGGCACAGTGACTCACGCCTGTAATCCCAGCATTTTGGGAGGCTGAGGCGGGTGGATCATGAGGTCAGGAATTTGAGACCAGCCCGGCCAACATGGTGAAACCCCGTCTCTACTAAAATTACAAAAAATTAGCCGGGTGTGGTGGCAGGGGCCTGTAATCCCAGCTACTCGGGAGGCTGAGGCAGGAGAATCACTTGAACCCGGGAGGCAGAGGTTGCAGTGAGCCAAGATCATGCCACTGCATTCCAGCCTGGGTGACAAGAGCAAGACTCTGTCTCAAAAAAAAAAAAAAAGAGTACACAAATTGAGACTCCCCTTGGACAGGGCTAAGTGCATGAAAATCAGGACATCCTGGTGTTAGGGACTCCAAAGTGGCTGCTGTGGCAGAGCTGCTAGTGCCTCCCCTGCCCCTCAAGTATCTTTTCTCCCTCCTTCCACAGTAAGAGATGGTTAGGGGAACATACAGTCACCCAGCTAAAGACCATATTTCCTAGCTTCCCTTGCAGCTAGGTAGCCAGGTGACTTGGTTCTGGCTAATGGGATGTTAGTAGAACTTATGTATGTCATTTCCAAGTTATGTCCCTAAAATAAAAAGGCAGTGTGCCTTTTCTTTTCATGGGCTGGAATATAAACCTAGCGGAGATCCGTCTTCCACCAGGAGGATGAGGGCAACATGCTGGGGATGACAGAGCAAACAGACAGAGGAGCCTGGGTGTCTGACACAGTGTTGATGTCATACCAGCCCTGCACAGCCACTTAGATTGTTACAAGAGAGAAATAAACTATCGTAAAGGTGGGGGGTATTTAAGGATGTTCACAAATACTGTAGCCTTGTCTTCTTTCAATCACATGGTAGGATAGGATTTCCCCAGCCACTTGTTTTAGCCAATAAGATGTGAGTACAAGTGATATGTATCACTTCCTGATGGAAGCTCAATGTAGTCTTCACCCTGCTCTTCCCCTCTGTATGGTAACGTCTGAGATGGTGGCTGCTCCACCAGCCAAGATCCCTGGGTGATATCGAAAGCACAGTACCAGCCGGGCACAGTGGCTCACACCTGTAATCCCAGCACTTTGGGAGGCCGAGGCAGGGGGATCACCTGAGTTCAGGAGTTAGAGACCAGCCTGACCAACATGGTGAAACCCCATCTCTACTAAAAATACAAAAATTAGCTGGGCGTGGTGGCATACGCCTGTAATCCCAGCTGCTCAGGAGGTTGAGGTAGGAGAATCGCTTGAACCCGGGAGGC
This sequence comes from Homo sapiens, assembly GCF_000001405.40. NCBI lineage: Eukaryota > Metazoa > Chordata > Mammalia > Primates > Hominidae > Homo > Homo sapiens. The sequence continues at coordinate 3,267,464 of NT_167247.2, read as the reverse complement.
AGAGATTGCAGTGAGCCGAGATCACACCACTGCACTTCAGCCTGGGTGACATAGGGAGACTCTGTCTCAAAAAAGAAAAAAAAAGCGCAATACTCGGCTGACTCTCAGTGGATAAGTAATATGACCAAAAAATAAACCTTTGTTATTTTAATTCATTGCATTTCTACTAATGCAGGAAAAAAAGTACCCACCCAATATGTAGGAAATTTAAAAATGATTTATTCTTTCTCATATTGGCCAGAAGGTTCTTCTGCTGATCTTCCATGCAGCGGCAGTCAGCTAGGGGCTGAGTTCAGTTAACAGTAGGACAGCAGGTCCTTCCTCCCTAGCCCTCATAGCATGGCAGTCTCAGGACAACTTCTGAGGAATCCAAAACATAAGCTGCAAGGTCTCTCGAGGCCTAGCCCCAAAAGTCACATAACATCACTTCTGCCACATTCTATTGGTCAAAGCAAATCACAAGGTCAGCCCAGATTTAAGACTGGAGGCATAGAATTTACCTCTTGATAGGAGGAATGGCAAAGTCACACGGCAAAGGGGCAGGCACATCAGAATAGGAGAGACTGATGGCTATATTTTGTAAGCCCTCCTATGGCAACAAATATTTCTAGGTTGTTGGTTACCAGAACGTAATGAAGCCTAACCTGACTGAACATTCAAATCACTAAACTTTGGGTGCCTTTTAAAGCCATCAAACTAATATGTAACAGCTGCCTTCAAAAGAAAGGGCCTTTCTTTCATGAGTTTTTCCCAGTATTTGTTGAGCTACATCAACTTGGCACAGTGTGGCAGAATTCATTCTCTCTTCCTGCTTAAGTAATAAAACTCCCAAGTTTTCTGGGCCCACAGAGTATGTTCTTAAGGAGAAGTGTTTACTCCTCAATGTATAAAACTTCTTCCCTTCCCACCAGCTGGAATGTGGACAGAATGGTGGACTCTGGAACAGCCACCTAGATCACAAAATGGAAGTCACATGTGGATGATGATAAAGAAACAAAATTAAAGAGGCCCTGCTCTCCAATCCTGTAGAGCTAATAGGATTGACCTGGACCACTTATGCTCAGACCATTTAAGCTGCTGTTATTCTAGCTTGGTTATAACAAAGCCAAACCATGTCTAACTGATATACCTAGCAAGAAATCAATGTGAGAGCCAAAGGCAACACTCAGAGAAGTGTGTTTATTAGGATACACGTTAAACTTCTGTAATAAAGAGACCCTAAAATACAGTAACTTAAATAAGATAGAATTTTGCTGCACTTTCAAATAAGAGCCTCAGAGGCCGGGCGCGGTGGTTCACGCCTGTAATCCCAGCACTTTGGGAGGCCGAGGCGGGTGGATCACAAGGTCAGGAGATCGAGACAATCCTGGCTAACACGGTGAAACCCCGTCTCTACTAAAAAATACAAATAATTAGCCGGGCGCGGTGGCAGGCGCCTGTAGTCCCAGCTACTCGGGAGGCTGAGGCAGGAGAATGGCAGGAACCCGGGAGGCAGAGTTTGCAGTGAGCTGAGATCGCGCTACTGCACTCCAGCCTGGGAGACAGAGCGAGACTCCATCTCAAAAAAAATAAATAAATAAGAGCCTCAGAGGCCGGGTGCGGTGGCTTACGCCTGTAATCCCAGCACTTTGGGAGGCCGAGGCGGGCGGATCACGAGGTCAGGAGATCGAGACCATCCTGGCTAACATGGTGAAACCCTGTCTCTACTAAAACTACAAAAAAAAAAAAATTAGCTGGGTGTGGTGGCGGCGCCTGTAGTCCCAGCTACTCGGGAGGCTGAGGCAGGCGAATGGCGTGAACCCGGGAGATGGAGCTTGCAGTGAGCGGAGATCGTGCCACTGCACTCCAGCCTGGGTGACAGAGCAAGACTCCATCTCAACAAAAAAAAAATAAAAACAAAATAAGAGGCTCAGGGTAAGCAGACAAGGCTGAGATGGCGTGTGTGGCCCTGGCTGGCAGAGCTGCTCATCAGCCTCCTTCAGGCCTCCAGCTTCCTTCCATCTGTGGTTCATGCCTTTGGAAATTGTCCTTGTCTGCATGGTTGAAACAGGGTCTCCATCAAGTCTGCCTCCCACCCCACTCTTCCATTCATATTCCATTGGCAAAAAGTCAGTTATAGTCCACTGTCAGCTCTCCAGGAGGCCCAGTCGAATGTGGAAGGACCATGACCTGACCTGTGGGGCTAAAGATGCCAGACCTTTATTCCCCTCGGCACTCCCGATTAGCTTTTCAGTAGACCCCACCAGATGAGGGCGACCTTGGCTTCTCTATTTCTTGTACCATTCAAAAGCCCAGCAAATGTAACCGTGTTTTCACTCCAGGTAGAGGGAAGCAGGTGAATAATATCTAAAAAACAGACATGCCTCTCCTGCCAGCTTCTTCCATCTTGTCCAAATTTCTTCTTATCAATTCTAGGCTTCTAATATCTGCTTCCAAGGGTACAATTCCAAAGAGAAAAAACCAATACCCCAATTCTGTACTTCATCTCCTAGTCAGAGTTGGATTTTTGCTTTTGGTTTTTTTGGTTTTTTGTTTTTGAGACAAAGTCTTGCTTTGTTGCCCAGGCTGGAGTGAAGCAGTACGATCTCGGCTCACTGCAACCTCCACCTCCTGGGTTCAAGGGATTCTCCTGCCTCAGACTCCCAAGTAGCTGGGATTACAGGCATGTGCTACCATGCCCAGCTAATTTTTGTATTTTTAGTAGAGATGGGGTTTCACCATGCTGGTCAGGCTGGTCTCAAACTCCTGACCTCAGGTGATCCACCTGCCTCTGCCTCCCAAAGTGCTGGGATTACAGGTGTGAGCCACTGTGCCAGGCCCCCTAATCAGAGTTTAAAAATCAGAAATGATGCTCTGATGGCCTCTCAGGATGCCTTATTCTCCCCTGGAGAGCTCAGCACCTTGCAGCTGAAAATTTCTGAGGAAACGTGGCATATAGCAGAGGCCGACCCCACTCTAGTGGCCAGTCTACTCCTTATCCAGTCTGGCCACTTGGGCATGGACTTCGCGGTCATCCTAGGATCTGCCACCCCTCAACCTTCTATGGCAACTGCAGGTCAACCCCCAAATTGGAAAACTAGTCTGGCTTGGCCTGGTTCACAGCCTTAATGTGTGACTTTAGATGGGGATTCAGCATTGCTCTGCAAGCCTCTTGGTGGTTTTAGTGGATCTGTCCTTGCCCCACCATATCCCTTGGGCCTTATCACTGGGGTGCTCCACTGACTTCCAGCTGCAGCATCTCTGTCTCTACCCAAGGATTGTTTTTGGTGTCCTGCACCATCTGTGCACAGAAAGCTGGAAATGACAGAGAATTAAGGCCTTCAACCAATGACTGATTGGTATAAATACTGGGCTCCCTCACCCTGGACCATGGGATAACTCTGCACCACTCCAGGGTTCCTGAGTGGGATTGACCTCCACTCACCCACAATGGTAAATTTGCCTGATAACACACCCTTCATTGACTGCCTTCCTTCTCTATCACACTCCACTACCCATGTTTCTTGCGATCACCTCCAGAATGCACTGTCTGCACTGGAACCCTTGTCTCCAGGTCTGCTTCTGGGGGAGGAAGACTTCATATTAGCAGGACATAGTGCCAGACAGTATTTTTAAGTCTTAAATGTAGGTGCTCACTTAATCCTCACAGCAAGCTTATGACACAGGTTCTGTTGTTACTCCCACTTTACAGATGAGGGAACTGAGGCACACAAAGGTTAAGTGAGCTGCCCCAGGTTCATACAGGTACTAAGCAGCAGAGCCGGGATTCAAACCCAGGCAGCATGGCTCCTGGGTCCACACTCATAGCCACCAAGTGGTAGTGCCTCTTCCTCACGTCTTCTCTTTAGTGACTGCTGGGAGCTCCTTGCGCATCCCTGAAGTCTACCCCAGCCCCTTGCATTTCCAAGCCCTCTCTCCCCTAGGCTCTTTCCTCTTGGCACCCCCTCTCCCATAACACCTTCTTTTCCATCCTTCTCAAATCCCTCATCTTCCAGACTCCTACAAGACCTGTCCACGCCATTTCCCACCTTCTAGCTACTTGTGCACTTGTCTCAAGCTCCCCAGAGGAAGGATCCAGGAGTTTTTTTTTTAAACAATGAGCTATCCAAGTAAGGTCAAGCCAATGCCCTCCCCCATCCTATTTCCACCCCAAGTAAATAGCATCTTTCAGGTCAGCAACAGAATTGGCTTTGGTTTCTCATCCATTTCTTTTTTAATAAAAATATTTACATTGGGTCAGACCCCACCCATTTCCACACAAAGGCCTCTGCTAAGTTCCTCGGTACACACACCATCCCCCATCCTAGCAGGCACTGCCTACTAACTTTGAAGTGATTGCCCAACTATGATCTTGAGGAATCTCCACATACATCACCCTTAGAGCCTCAGAAAGGGTTTTGCCCTGCCCCATGGGGCTCCTCCCCATGCCCAGGCTCTTCCAGGGCCCTGGGCCTCAGAGGCCACCCTGCAGGCCCAGACACTGGGTTAGACACTGAACCTCCTGTCCTTGTCCATCCATTGCACAAACAATTCCTGAGAATGGAACGAGGAACTAAGGGGTGGGGTAGGGCCTCCCAAGAAACAGAAGGCCTGTCCCTGACCTCCTGTAGGCGCCATATCTCTTTCAGACAAAAACTCAACCTCTAAAGACTCACAGGCCTGGGGTGTACCAGGGTGTCCATCTGCCCACACCGCAGCTCTTACCTCAGCCCTCTGAGGTCTCCACTGTCCTTGGGCTGGTGGGGGGCATGGTGCATGTTATCACCCACTTCTTGCTACCCATCAGGGAAGCTGCCCTGGGTAACCCAGGTAAGAGGGTGGTAAACACAACTCAGGTGCTCAGGGGTCAGCTGAGGATGGGCCAGGGGGAGGGGTGGCCTATGGCTGAATTGCCCTGGCTCCGGTCCTCACCACCCCAACCCCAGCTCTGGGCTTAGCATTGGTGGCAGTGGGGGCCTCACTAGCCTCCTCTGCCCTTTCATTGAAAATTCCTCTCTAATGTTTTCCTTTATCCTGGGGAGTGGGGAGATATTCATCCCCTTCCCAGTTCTGGGTACCAGTACCCTCTTGACAAAAGGATAGCCTGGGGCTCACATGGGAGAATCCTCCTGCCCTCACTCCTCCAGTGCTGCCAAGGGGTGAAGAGGGAACTTGCCCAGTAGAAAGACATACGTTCATGCCTTGCTTTCCTGCCCAACACAAATGAAAGGTTATACCTGAGAAGAGCTCCTCCTGCCCCGTCTCTGGCCCCAGCCCCAGTGTGGTATGAGGAATTCAGGCTTTGACTTAAGACAGCCTGGAACCTCAGGTTTGGCTTGGCAAATTCATTAGCTATTTCGTAGCCTTACTCACCCTGTTTTGTCACCTGTCATCCACAGAACCAACAGCAAAATACACTCCCCTTAAGGTTACCTTTGAGAATTAGGACCATCAAAAGGAGAAGATCGGCTACCCTACAGGTATAAAAGGTACCAGGATATTTGCTTTAGCATTCACTGTTACCAAGAGGAAATGTTTGGAAACTCCCACGTCCATTAATAGGGGACAGACACAGCACATTGTGGTATGGGGACAACTGAATACTACGCAGTCTCTGCAAGCTTAAGGCTTATCTGTGTGTACAGAGCTGAATGTCTCCAGATATATATGTTATATAATATACACTTTTAAACTAGATAGACATTCAGAACTGTATGTATGGGATGCCACCATTTATGCAAAAAAAGGAGGGAAAGAGGATAGTAGCCACATATGCTCTCTGTGTGTATATAATTTCACTGGAAAAGTTTACAAAAAACTGGATAGGAGAGTTGCCTCTGGGGAGAACTGGGGGCTGGAAAATGAGGTGGGAGGTAAAGAAGGCAACTTAATTTTCACCAAATCCCCTTTATTACTCCTTGTAGTTTTCACTGGGTACATATGATACCTATTCAAGGCCAGGCCCAGTGGCTCACGCCTGTAATCCCAGCACTTTGGGTGGCCAAGGCAGGTGGATCACCTGAGGTCAGGAGTTTGAGACCAGCCTGACCAACATGGTGAAATCCCGTCTCTACTAAAAATACAAAAATTAGCCGGGTGTGTTGGCAGGCACTTGTCACCCCACCTACTCAGGAGGCTGAGGCAGGAGAATTGCTTGAACCTGGGAGGCAGAGGTTGCTGTGAGCTGAGATTGCACCACTGCACTCCAACCTGGGCAACAAGAACAAAACTCCGTCTCCAGAAAAAAAAAAAAAAGAAAAGAAAAGAAAAGAAAAGAAATACCCTACTGGACTATTAACAAGAGACCCTGATACAATCTCTCTGCAGATTAAGTTTTATTTTGTAAAATTTCAAACATATTGTAAAGTAGAGAGAATAGTAAAATGAACTTTCATGTATGTATCCATCATCTAGCTTCAGTTCATAGACGGTCTCGGTTCATAGACGGTCTGGGTTCATGTCTATATACCACCCACCAACCATTCCTTCCAGGAATTTTTTTTTTTTTTTTTTTTTTTGAGACAGAGTCTTGCTCTGTCACCCAGGCTGGAGTGCAGTGATGCAATCTCGGCCCACTGCAACCTCTGCCTCCCAGGTTCAAGCCTCCTGAGTAGCTGGGATTACAGGTGCCCGCCACTACACCCAGCTAATTTTTTTGTATTTTTAGTAGAGATGGGGTTTCACCAACTTGGCCAGGCTGGTCTTGAACTCCTGACCTCGTGATCCGCCCACCTCGGCCTCCCAAAGTGCTGGAATTACAGGCGTGAGCCACCGCTCCCAGCCAGGATTTTTTTTTTTTTTTAAGTTAAAGACAGGGTCTCACTGTCACCCAGGCTGGAGTTTAGTGGTGCAATCACAGCTCACTGTAACCACAAACTCCTGGGCTCACATGATCCTCCCACCTCAGCCTTCCAAGAAGCTGGGACAAGAAGCATGCATCACCATGCCCAGCTAATTTATTCATTTATTTACTTTTGTAAAGACAGGGGTCTCAGTATGTTGCCCGGACTGGCCTCAAACTCCTAGCTTCAAGTGATCCTCCTGCCTCAGTCTCCCAAAGTGTTAGGATTACAAGTGTGAGCCACTGTGCCTGGCCTCGAGGAATATTTTTTTTTTGAGATGGGGTCTTGCTTTGTTGCCCAGGCTGGAGTGCAGAGACCTGATCATAGCTCACGGCAGCCTCAAACTCCTGGGCTTCCACAATCCTCCCACCTCAGCCTCCTGAGTAGCTGAGATTACAGGCATATACCATCATACCAGGCTAAGTTTTTTTTAATTGTTTACTTTAATTAGAGATGAGGTCTTGCTATGTTTTCCAGGCTGGTCTTGAACTAGCCTCAAGCAATCCTCCAACCTAGGCCTCCCAAAGTGCTGGGAATTCATTAAAAATTTTTTTACGGAAAAGCTCAAATTTTTCATTTTAAAATATTTCTCTTTTTTCTTTTTTCAGAACATTTCTCACTTACATAAGAGCACATTTTCTTTCTCTTTTTTTCAGATAGAGTCTCTTTGTGTCACCCAGGCTGGAGTGCAATGGCGTGATCTCGGCTCACTGCAACCTCCGCCTCCCGGGTTCAAGCAATTCTCCTGCCTCAGCCTCCCAAGTAGCTGGGATTACAAACGGCTGACACCACGCCCAGCTAATTTTTGCATTTTTAGTAGAGACGGGGTTTCACCATGTTGGCCAGGCTGGTCTCCAACTCCTGGCCTCAGGTGATCCGCCTACCTCAGCCTCCCAAAGTGCTGGGATTACAGGCATGAGCCACCGCGCCTGGCCTTTTTTTCTTTTTTTAAAATTCCAACTTTTATTTTAGATACAGGGGGTACAGGTGCAGGTTTGTTACATGGGTATATTGCACTAGGTAGTCATAGAACCAATTAGGTAATTTTTTAACCCACACTCCCTCCCTCTCTCCCCTTCTAGTAGTCTTCAGTGTCTATTGTTCCTATATTTATGTCCATATGTGCTCAATATTTAGTTCCGTTATAAGTGAGAACATTAGGCATTTGGTTTTCTGTTCCTACGCTAATTCATTTAGGATTCTGTCCTCCAGCTCCATCCATGTTGCTGCAAAGGACATGATTTAATTTTTTTTTTTTATGGCTGCAAAACTATTTATCTTTCACTTCTTGGCTTTTACCAAAATAAAATGTTTCTTTTGAACTATAAATTTATAAAACATCTCATTGTTCTCTGTATCATAATTTTTTTCTTTTTTTTTTTTTTTCTGAGACAGAGTCTCACTCTGTCACCCAGGCTGGAGTGCAGTGGTGCCGTCTTGGCTCACTGCAACCTCCGCCTCCTGGGTTCAAGCGATTCTCCTGCCTCAGCCTCCCAAGTAGCTCGGATTACAGGTGCCCACCAGCACGCCGGCTAATTTTTGTATTTTTAGTAGAGACGAGGTTTCACCATGTTTGCCAGGCTGGTCTCAAATTCATGATCTCAGGTAATCCACCCGCCTCGGCCTCCCAAAGTGCTCAGATTACAGACATGAGCCACCACAGCCAGCCTTTTTTTTTTTTTTTTTTTTTGTTGAGATGGAGTCTCGCCCTGTCACCCAGGCTGGAGTACAGTGGCGCTATCTCAGCTCACTACAACTCCAGCCTGGGCAAAAGGAGCAAAACTCTGTCTCAAAAAAAAAAAAAAAAAGGGCAGAGAACTAATGCCCAGAGTCAACCTGCAATTATTGCAGAGTGGGAAGCAGTAGACAGATGCTCCTGCCTCCTGTCCTTCAGGTGGAAAGCGTCTGGAGACATTCAGCTCTCTCCTCAGGAGGGCCTGGGGGAATCGAACTCCACTGCACACAACAGTGACATCACTCTTTTTTTTTTTTTTTTTTTGAGACGGAGTCTCACTCTGTTGCCCAGGCTGGAGTGCAATGGTGCAATCTCTGCTCACCGCAACCTCCGCCTCCCAGGTTCAAGCAATTCTCCTGCCTCAGCCTCCCAAATAGCTGGGATGACAGGCACATGCCACCACGCCAGGCTAATTTTTGCAATTTTAGTAGAGACAGGGTTTCGTCGTGTTGGCCAGGCTGGTCTCGAACTCCTGACCTCAGGTGATCCACCCACCTCAGCCTCCCAAAGTGCTGGGATTACAGGCGTGAGCCACCATACCCGGCCAACATCATTCTCTTAAACTGGCCTTTCCTCCTTCAGGATCTCACACTCCCTATAGCCTCGCTTCTGCTTTCTGGGATCACCTAAATTAACTACCTACGGCCAAGTCCTGTCTCAAGCTCTGCTGTCAGGGTCACCAAAATTAAGATCATCCCTTTCCATCCTCCTCTCCCTATAAACTACTGCCCTTCTTCCACAAACTCCTTCCACGCCAGCAAACCCAGACTGTAACATTAACACAGAGTTATAATCCATCCATATACTGGTCTCTCCACATTCCTGGAGCACAAACTGCTAAAGGGTAGGAACGCTGTGACACGTTTGGTTCCCCCACTGTCCAGTGGGAGAGAGATATGTGAGCCAGTCAGCGCTACACCGAGTTGAGGCAGCCATTGAGGCTCTTCATGAATTTTCCCGTTTTCTGCCTTCCAGGCACATGATAGGATGGAATTCCTCAGCCCTCCTGAAGTTAGGCCACTGCAAGAGGCCTAACTGGCTTGCTTTGGCCAGTGAAATAAGAGCAGAAGTCACATGTGTTGTTACTGTCAGGCACAAGTATTTAACTGCCAATGTAACACAAGACACTCCAGCACCCTCTTTTGATGGAGCCTCCTTTGATCTGGATGCCTGAGTGACTATGATGATCAGAGACTCTAACACTCCTACTGACCCAACAGAGAGCAATAGTGAGAAATAAAACTGTTGTGTTAAGCTACTGAGATTCCAGGGTTGTTTGTTACTGCAGCATGATGTAGCCATCCTGACTGATACAAGCTGAGATAGGAGTCCATATAAAGTTCACAGGGACACAAACAGGGGAATATTAGGTCTCTCTAGAAGATCAGAAAGGTTTCATCAATGAACTTGAGATAGCCTTAAAAGATGAGTGTTTACCTGACAAGGAAGAGATGCAAGCATCCAGGTGAGCAATGAAACCCCAGAGCGCATTAAAGGAACTGCAAGTTCAGGACCTTTCAGGGCTGGGGAGGGAAGGAAGGCCACAATGACACTAGACCAGGGAGGAAGGAGAGAATGCCTTATGGAAGAAACAGCATTTACAGCTTGTAAGGCGATTTGCTATATGGAATTTTAGATAAGGAAGTGATATGATTTGATTTGCATTTCAGAAATATTATTCTGGAATCAGTATGTAGGGGCTGGAAGACCAGTTAAGAGACATTTAGAGTCCTGGCAAGACAACAGGGGCTAAAAGCAAGCACAGAAATGAGGAAGGGAAAGCCAGCACCAACGTTGAGGCATAGACCACGGGGCCCCTGAGCCCTCCTCTGACTCTCAGAACACCTGGGTGTCTTATCACATTGCACCATGACTGCTTGTTCATTGTTTTTGTTGTTGTTGTTGTTGTTGTGATGGAGTCTTGCTCTGTCGCCCAGGCTGGAGTGCAGTGGTGTGATCTTGGCTCACTGCAAGCTCCGCCTCCCGGGTTCACGCCATTCTCCTGCCTCAGCCTCCCAAGTAGCTGGGACTACAGGCGCCTGCCACCACGCCTGGCTAATTTTTTTGTATTTTTAGTAGAGACGGGGTTTCACCGTGTTAGCCAGGATGGTCTCCATCTCCTGACCTCGTGATCCACCCGTCTCGGCCTCCCACAGTGCTGGGATTACAGGCGTGAACCACCGCGCCCGGCCGATTGCTTGTTCATTAACTATAGTCTTCTTTTTTTTTTTTGAGACGGAGTCTCACTCTGTTGCCCAGGCTGGAGTGCAGTGGCACGATCTCGGCTCACTGCAACCTCTGCCTCCTAGGTTCAAGCGATTCTTCTGCCTCAGCCTCCCAAGTAGCTGGGACTACAGGCATACACCACTACGCCCAGCTAATTTTTGTATTTTTAGTAGAGATGGGGTTTCACCATATTGGCCAGGCTGGTCTCGAACTCCTGACCTCATGATCCGCCCTCATGATCCGCCCACCTCGGCCTCCCAAAGTGCTGGGATTACAGGAGTGAGCCACCGCGCCCGGCCACTCAGGCAGGATTTCTATGTGACAGTCTTGAGGCAGAATTCCTTCTCTGGGAAACCTAAGTCCTTGCTCTTTAGGCCACAATATCAAGAGTAATCTCCTGGCTGGGCGTGGTGGCTCACACCTGAAATCCCAGCACTTTGAGAGGCCGAGGCAGGCGGATCACAAGGTCATGAGATTGAGACCATCCTGGCCAACATAGTGAAACACGGTGAATACAAAACTTAACTGGGCGTGTTGGCATGTGCCTGTAATCTCAGCTACTTGGGAGGCTGAGGCAGGACAATCACTTGAACCAGGGAGTCGGATCGCAGGTTGCAGTGAGCCAAGATCGCGCCTGGGTGACAGAGCGAGATTCTGTCTTAAAAAAAAAAAGGGCCAGGCACGGTGGCTCATGCCTGTAATCCCAGCACTTCTGGAGGCCAAGGCGGGCAGATCACGAGGTCATGAGTTCAAGACCAGCCTGGCCAACATAGTGAAATCCTGTCTCTACTAAAAATACAAAAATTAGCCGGGTGTGGTGCCTGTAGTCCCAGCTACACGGGAGCCTGAGGCGGGAGAATTGCTTACACCCAGGAGGCGGAGGTTGCAGTGAGCCGAGATCACGCCACTACACTCCAGCCAGGGTGACAGAATGAGACTCCATCTCAAAAAAAAAAGAGTAAACTCCTTTACTTAACGTCAGCTGAGTATAGATGGCAATGTCTTTGCTTCGTTTTATTTTTTTGAGATGGAGTTTCGCTTTTGTTGCCCAGACTTGCCCAGACTGGAGTGCAATGGCACGGTCTCAGCTCACTGTAACCTCTGCCTTCCAGGTTCAAATGATTCTTGTGCCTCAGCCTCCCAACTAGCTGGGATTACAGGTGCCTGCCACCACACCCAGCTAATTTTTGTATTTTTAGTAGAGATAGCGGTTCACCATGTTGGCCAGGCTGGTCGCGAACTCCTCACCTCAGGTGATCTGCCCACCTTGGCCTCCCAAAGTGCTCCAATTACTGGCGTGAGCCACTGTGCCCAGCCAAGATGTCAGTGTTATCTACAAAATGCCCTCACTGAAGTATCCAGACTACAGTCAGGCATGGTGGCATGCTTGTAGTCCCAGATACCCAGGAGGCTGAGGCAGGAGAATCACTTGAGACTGGGAGTTCAAGTTCAGCCTGGAGAACATAGTGAGAGTCTATCTCATTAAGATAAATAATAATGCAAATGTGTATATATACAGTGCCCAAGGGCACCATAGCCTTGCCAAATTGACACATCTTTTTTTTTTTTTTTTTTTTTTTGTGGAAACAGGGTTTCACCATCTTACCCAGAGTGGTCTTGAAATCCTGGGCTCAAGTAATCCTCCCACCTTGCCCTCCTAAAGTGCTGGGATTACAGGCGTGAGCCACTGCGCTTGGCCTGACACATAAAATTAACCATCACAGAGTCATCAATGTGGTAACCAATCTCTCTTTTTTTTTTTTTTTCTTTTTTGAGATGGAGTCCCGCTCTGTCACTCAGGCTGGAGTGTAGTGATATGATCTCAGCTCACTGCAGCCTCTGCCTCCCAGGTTCAAGCGATTCTCCTGCCTCAGCCTCCTGAGTAGCTGGGATTACAGGCACACACCATCACCCTGGTTAATTTTTTGTATTTTCAGTAGAGACAGGGTTTCACCATGTTGGCCAGACTGGTCTCGAACTCCTGACCTCAGGTGATCCACCTGCCTCAGCCTCCCAAAGTGCTCGGATTACAGGTGTGAGCCACCGTGCCCGGCCTGGTAACCAATCTCTAAAGAGCACATGGTACCACCCAGAGAGAATGAGATAAAGGCCTAGAAGGCCAAAGGCATCAACAGAGGAAAAGGTCAAGACAGGAAAGGAGTGAGGGTTTATAGAACAGACTGAAATTATAGAAGGAAGGGAGCCTGGATACAGGGGTGTCATGGAAACCAGGGAAAAGCAGTGGATCAAACAGTGTGGTCAAGTATGTCACAGACTGCAGAAAGCTCAAGTAAGAGGAGCACTGAATAATATCCATTAAATTTGAAGCCTTTATATCTTTTTTCCCAAGAAGCAACAGTCTCATGGCTGGTGTACAACTGCTTCAGAAAATAGTTTAGCATTAGCAGGGAAGCTGAACAGGTGCAGACCTCAACATCCAGCAACTCCACTCTTACGAATATGTGGATGCTTGCTACTCAGACTGTGGTCCACAGACAGACAGCATCAGCATCAGCAGGAACTTGTAGAAATGCAGAATCTGGCCAGGCACGGTGGCTCAACGCCTGTAATCCCAGCACTTTGGGAGACTGCAGTGGGCGGATCGCTTGAGCCCAGGAGTTAGAGACCAGCCTTGGCAACGTAGTGACCCGGTCTCAAATTGGAAAAAAAAAAAAAAAAAAAAGGGCCAGACATGGTGGCTCATGCCTGTAATCTCAGCACTTTGGGAGGCTGAGGCGGGCAAATCACCTGAGGTCAGGAGTGCGAGACCAGCTTGGCCAACATGGTGAAACCCCATTTCTACTAAAAATACAAAAATTAGCCAGGCGTGGTGGCATGTGCCTGTAGTCCCAGCTACTTGGGAGGCTGAGGCAGGAGAATTGCTTGAACCCGGGAGGCGGAGGCTGCAGTGTGCCACTGCACTCCAGCCTGGGCAACAGAGCGAGACTCTGTCTCAAAAAAAAAAGAGAGAGAAAAAAAAAAAAAGAAAGAAACACAGAATCTCAGGCCCCACCCAGACCTACTGACTCAGACTCCGAATTAAAACTCCAGATGACTCATGTGCATGCTGATTTCAAGAAGCATGTAATCTTCAAACCCTTTTGCTCACATTAAAAGAATTTTGCAAATTATGTACCCCTTGCATGTTTTTATGCTGCTATCTAAAACTTTCCCCAAATGTTTAGTTGCAAAAGAATGCCATTCCAGTGTGTTGTAAACATGGATCTTTTTTAAAAAGTCTTATTTCACTTTTTAACCATTCCCTTCATGATTCATTTTATTTTTTTTTTTATGTATTTATTTGTTTATTTTTTGAGACAAGAGTCTCCCTCTGTCTCCTAGGCTGGAGTGCAGTGGCGCCATCTCGGCTCACTGCAACCTCCGCCTCCCAGGTTCCAGCAATTCTCCTGCCTCCACCTCTCGAGTAGCTGGGACTACAGGTGCCTGCCACCACGTCTGGCTAATTTTCGTATTTTTAGTAGAGACGGGGTTTCACCTTGTTGCTCAGGCTGGTCTCGAACTCCTGACTTCAGGTGATCCACCCGCTTTGGTCTCCCAAAGTGCTGGGATTACAGGCATGAGCCACCACACCCAGCCCAATTCATTTTATTTATTTATTTTTTATTTTATTTTTAAGATGGAAGCTTGCTCTGTCACCCAGGCTGGAGTGCAGTGGCACGATCTCGGCTCACTGCAACCTCTGCCTCCCGGGTTCAAGAGATTATCCTGCCTCAGCCTCCCGAGTAGCTGGGATTACAGGCATGCGCCACCACGCCTGGCTAATTTTTGTATTTTTAGTAGAGATGGGGTTTCATCATGTTGGCCAGGCTGGTCTTGAACTCCTGACCTCAAGTGATTCATCTGCCTCAGCCTCCCAAAGTGCTGGGATTACAGGCGTGGGCCACCGTGCTGGGCTCATGATTCATTTTTAAAGTACATGATTATAATCTTCTTTAACAGTCAGAAATTTCACATTGTTCTATTTCTTCTGAATTCTTATTTTCATAGTTCTATTTCTACCCCCAAGACATTATCCTAATGTAATACATTTTGTGCTTGAAAGCCTTCTAAGCCTGAGCAACATGGCAAAACCCTGTCTCTACAACAAATAACAAAAATTAGCTGGGTGTGGTGGCGTGTGCCTGTAGTCCTAGCTACTCTGGAGGCTGAGGTGGGAGGATCACCTGTTCCTGGGGAGGTCAAGCCTGCAGTGAGTCATGATTGTGCATTCCAGCCTGGGCAACAGAGTGAGACCTTGTCAAAAAAAAAAAAATGAGCAAAGGACTTGAATAGATATTTCTCCAGAGAAGACACACAAATGGCCAACAAGGACATGAAAAGATGCTCAACATCATTAGTCATTAAGTAAATGAAAATAAAACTATAATGAGTACAACTTCATATCAACTAGAATGTCTATTTAAAAAAAAAAACAAGCCAGGCGCGGTGGCTCACGTCTGTAATCCCAGCACTTTGGGAGGCTGAGGTGGGCGGATCACAAGGTCAGGAGTTCGAGACCAGCCTGGCCAATATGGTGAAACCCCATCTCTACTATAAATACAAAAATTAGCCAGGCGTGGTGGCGCGTGACTGTAGTCCCAGCTACTCAGGAGGCTGAGGCAGGAGAATCCCTTGAACCCGGGAGGCAGAGGTTGCAGTGAGCCAAGATCGCACCACTGTACTCTAGCCGGGGCAACAGAGTGAGACGCTGTCTCAAAAAAAAACAAAAAACAAAAAAAAACAGAAAATAACAACTGTTGGCAAGGATATGGAGAAATTGAAGCTTGTGTACAATCTCCTGGTGGGAACATAAAATGGTGCAGCTGCTGTGGAAAACAGTTTGGCAGTTCCTCAAAAGGTTTAACATATAGGGTGGGCACAGTGGCTCACGCCTGTGATCCCAGGCTGAGAGGAATTTGGGAAGCTAAGGCTGGAGGATCGCTTGAGCCTAGCAGTTCGAGACCAGCCTGGGAAACACAGCAAGACTTCATCTCTACAAAAAAAAAAAAAGAGGTGGGCGGGGGAGCAAATGCCATGGCTCACGCCTATAATCTCAACAATTTGGGAGGCCAAGGCAGGCGGATCCCTTGAGCTCAGGAGTTCCAGACCAGCCTGAGCAACATGGTGAAACCCTGTTTCTACAAAAATGCAAAAATTAGCCAGGCATGGTGGTGCATACCTGTAGTCCTAGCTACTCGGGAGGCTAAGGCGGGAGGCTAAGCCTGGGAGGTGGAGGTTGCAGTGAGCCAAGATCACACCACTGCATTCCAGTCTGGTCAACAGAGATCCTGTCTAAAAAAAAATAATAATAATAATACGTTAAAAATTTAACATATAATTGCCATATAATCCAACAGTTCCACTCCTAGGTATATATCCAAAAGAACTGTAAATAGGTATACAAACAAATTCTAGTATAAGCATCCAATTAAAAGACAATGAATGAATTACAGCTACACAAGTCAACAAAACCATAATGTTGAGTGAAAAGGCCAGCCCCAGAACATGTACAGTATGATTCATCTGTGTGATGGTCAAACAGACAAAACTAAACTGTCCGGGAAAACCTACAACTGCATAGATACTGAAACTATTACAATAAGCAAATGAAGTATACACGGTCATACCTCAGAGATATTTTGGGCTTCGTTCCAGATCCCCTCAATAAAGCCAGTCATATCAACAACTTTTTGGTTTCCCAGTGCACACAAGTTATGTTTACACTGTACTGTAGTCTATTCAGTGTGCAATAGCATACGTCTAAAAACAATGTATGTAACCTTAATTTTAAAATACTGTATTGCTAAAAAATGCTAACAGTCATCTGAGTCTTTAGTGAGTTGTAACATTTTTGCTGGTGGAGGATTTTATCTTGATATCGATAGCTGCTGACTGATTAGGGTGGTGGTTGCTGAAGGTTGGGATGGCTTTGACAATTTCTTTTTTTCTTTTTTTTTTTTTTGAGATGAAGTCTCATGCTGTCACCCAGGCTGGAGTGGAGTGGTGCAATCTCGGCTCATTACAACCTCCATCTCCTGGGTTCAAGCAATTCTCCTGCCTCAGCCTCCCAAGTGGCTGGGACTACAGGCACCCCCACCACACCCAGCTAATTTTTGTGTTTTTAGTAGAGATTGGGTTTCACCATGTTGGCCCAGGCTGGCCTCGAACTCCTGACCTCAGGTGATCCGCCCACCTCAGCCTCCCAAAGTGCTGGGATTACAGGAGTGAGTCACCCCACCCAGCCAACAATTTCTTAAAATAAGACAACAATGAAATTTGCTGTATCTACTGACTCTAACTTTTATAAAAAGATTTATCTGGGCCGAGCACGGTGGCTCATGCCTGTAGTCTCAACACTTTGGGAGGCCAAGGCAGGAGTATCACTTGAACCCAAGAATTCAAGATCAATGACTGGGCAACACGGGAAGACCCAGTCTTGCCACTTTTAATTAAAAAAAAAAAAAAAATGGCCGGGTGCTGCGGCTCATGCCTGTAATCCCAGCACTTTGGGAGGCTGAGGTGGGCGGATCATGAGGTCAGGAGTTCAAGACCAGCCTGGCCAACATGGTGAAACCCCATCTCTACTAAAAATACAAAACATTAGCTGGGCGTGGTGGCAGACGTCCGTAATCCTAGCTACTCAGGAGGCTGAGGCAGGAGAATTGCTTGAACCTGGGAGGCAGAGGTTGCAGTGAGCTGAGATTGTACCATTGCACTCCAGCCTGGGCAACAAGGGCGAAACTCCATCTCAAAAAAAAAAAAAAAAAAAAAAAAGCCAGAAGTGGTAGCGCACGCCTGTAGTCCCAGCTACTCCAGAGGCTGAGGCAGGAGAATCACTTGAACCTGGTAGGTGGAGGTTGCAGTAAGCCGAGATTGTGCCACTGCACCCCAGCCTGGCGACAGAGCAAGACTCTGTCTAAAAAATAAATAAATAAATTAGTCCAGGAAGGTCGAGGCTGCAGTGAGCCTTCTTTGCACCACTGTACTCCAGCCTGAGCAAAAGAAACCACTTTTTTTTTTTTTTTTTTTTTTGACAGGGTCTTGCGCCATCACCCAAGCTGGAGTGCAGCAGTGCGAACAAGGCTCACTGCAGCCTTCTCCTCCCTGGGCTGAATCAATCCTCCCACTTCAGCCTGTTGAATAGCTGCGACCACAGGCAACACCACCTCCCACAGCTATTTTTTTTTTTTCTGAGACTGGGTTTTGCCTTGTTGCCCAGGCTGGTTTCAAGTGATCCTCTTCCCTTGGCTTCCCAAAAGTGCTGAGTTTACAGGCGTAAGCCACCACACCCAGCCTTGTACCCTCTTATATTTTTTAAATTTTGAACAAAACTTTACAATTTGAATTTGGAATTGTACTTACACATTTTGAATTTTGAACAAAACTACATTTTGAATTTTGAACTTTGAATTTTGAGTTTGTAAACAAAATTTTACAAACTCTAATGCTTTTATTTTGCTTTTTTTTTTTTTAAGACAGAGTTTCACTCTTGTCACCCAGGCTGGAGTGCAGTGGCGTGATCTCAACTCACTGCAACCTCTGCCTCCCAGGTTCAAGCAATTCTCCTGCGTCAGCCTCCTGAGTAGCTGGGATTACAGGCATGCACCACCACGCCCAGCTAATTTTTTTTGCATTTTCAGTAGAAACGAGGTTTCACCATGTTGGCCAGGCTGTTCTCAAACTTCTGACCTCAAATGATCCGGCCACCTCAGCCTCCCAAAGTGCTGCGATTACAGGTGTGAGCCACTGCACCCGGCCCTACAAACTCTAATTCTTAACTTGACAGCTTTTTGTATTTCTGCTCTCACGAATGACTCCATGAAAAAAATAAAATGAACAATTTTTTTTTTAAACTTGGGATATGGATTAGGTCATTTGCAGGGACACAGGCAGGCCTGGGGAGGACAACCTGATCCAGGCAGGTATCACAGGCCCGAAAGTCAGTTGCTCAAGCAGCAAGGATGACATAGGGTAGCAGAGCAGACTTGGTGAGGCTCAGAGGATAGAATATTTGTCGAGAAGTGGAAGAGTCTTTTTCTGTCTGGAATTCACAAGGTGCTGGGAGAATCTGCCTCCATTTCCCCAGATAGACCTGGATCTGGGCAGAGTCAGCAAGGGTGTGTGGAGGACTTGGACGATGGCAAAGGTGGTGGGCTGCAGGGAGTAAATTCCCTCCGAGGTAGGAGGGGGAGGGAAGAGTTTGTCTGGAGGCAGGTTGAGGCTGGGAGAGGGCTCCGAAGAGCTAGGGATAAGGAGCTCTGAAGAAGGAGGAGGAGCCAGCATTGAGGAGCAGTCAAGGGGGATGGATGGGAGTTCAGAAAAGGTGGTTTTGCAGATGGATGGGAGTGGTGCAGGCACTTTGTTTTCACATGGCTTCTTTCCCCAAGCAGTAAGCCCCTTCCAACATTGCCAAAACATCCTGCAGTTTTTACCAGGGTTCCTGCGCTGAGGGCAGAGCTGAGTGCAGATCAAAGGAGAAAGAGAAAGAAGTTGGAGGTTTTGTTGTAATGTAAGACAGTTTCATCAGCCTATGGATTTAAAAGTCCAGGCTGACTTACCTCTTCCTTTCCTATAGATTGCTCAGGAAATATGGTTATTCTAGTACGTGCTAAGCATCGTTGTAAAAAGTAAGCCCACAGCCTAAAATACTTTGAATGTCTTAGACAAATGTCCAATGTTTGCTACGGTTTTGGATTATCAAGGCCACTCCTTACCTCTATGAGTAGCCAAGGGTAGTGCTCTAAGCTGTGAGCTAGCTTCTCTCAGAGATGCCCACAAACATAAACACCCCTTTTCAAAGTAAGCTGCTATGGACTCATAGGACTGGAAAATACTTCAGAGAGTAATCCCTCCATTTTATTAAAGAGAATACTGAAACCTGGGGAGCCTTGATGACTTCAAGATGGACTGGAACCTGGACCTTTTGTCTCCTAGTTATTCCTTGCATCCCTAGTCAAATTTTATTTCCTTTAAAAAATGTATTTACTTTTATTTATTATTATTTTTGAGACAGGTGTCTCGCTTTGTTGCCCAGGCTGGTCTCAAACTCCCGGCCTTAAGTGATCCTCCCACCTCAGCTTCCCAAAGTGCTGAGATTACAGGCATAAGCCACAGTGCCCAGCCCAGATTTTATTTCTAAAGCTCACTAAGAATCCTAATTTTTTTTTAAAAGACAGGGTCTCATTCTGTTGCCCAGGCTGGAGTACAGTGGCACTATCATGGTTCACTGCAGCCTCAACTGCCTGGGCTTAAGCAGTCCTCCCACCTCAGCCTCTCATGTAACTGGGATCCCAAGCACATACACACCATCATGCCCTGCTAATTTTCTTATTATTTGTAGAGATGGGGTCTTGCTATGTTGCCCAGACTGGTCTCAAACTGCTGGGCTCAAGGGATCCTCCTGCCTCGGCCTCCCAAAGTGCTGGGATTACAGGAATGAACCATTGAGCCTGACCCAAAAATCCTAAAAGTATCTCCTAAATTTATCTGTTCTTGACACCACACCAAGGCATTTGGTACTGCAAGCTAAGGACAGGAAAGCCCCTGGTTTTATACTGGCAGAAGTTGGGGAAGAAGGGACAAGGATCTAGATGATTGTAAACCCCCTGGATGGGATGCATGGGAAATGGCTCCACATCATCTCTCCACCAGACTACATGGAAAAGAGTTTGTGCACCTCTGCTTGTTTTTACGCAGAGTTGTAACTGGGTGGGCTGGACACTTGAAGGATTCATTGGCTGTCAACTCCACCTGCCACCAAGGACTACCTGTCTTGAGCCATGGGCTGAGATTAGGCCCCCTGTCCCATCTACATTCCTAGAAAGGAAAAGTAGGAAGAAAGGGACAAGAAACAAAATTTTACAAACTCTAATTCTTAACTTGACAGCTTTTTGTATTTCTGCTCTCACTGGAATGTGAACTATTCTTCTGAGAAGTTTGGCAATGCGGAAAAGAAGAGATGAGATAGAAAAACAGAATTTTTAAAGTTCTTTTGGGTCAGGCGCAGTGGCTCACGCCTGTAATCCCAACACTTTGGGAGGCTGAGCAAGGTGGATCACCCGAGGTCAGGAGTTCGAGACCAGCCTGGCCAACATGGTGAAACCCCGTCTCTACTAAAAATGCGAAAATTAGCTAGGCATGGTGGCGGGCACCTGTAATCCCAGCTACTTGGGAGGTTGAGGCAGGAGAATCACTTGAACCTGGGAAGCGGAGGTTGCAGTGAGCCAAGATCGTGCTATTGCACTCCAGCCTGGGTGACAAGAGCAAAACTCCAGCTAAATAAATTAATTAATTAATTAAAATAAAATAAAATTCTTTTGAAAATTTCATAGTCCGTTTCCCAGATTAGGAAAAGGAGAACAGAGCTATTGTTTACTCAGCAACTACTGCATGCCAGGCTCATTTAAACCTCACATTAGCCCTGTGAGAGATCAGGGCCTTCAAGATAAAAATGCTTTCAGATGAGCTAAGGATGGGCGGGGGAGACAAAGATAAGGACACTGTGATTCAGAGAATTAAGTAACTTGCCCAGTGGGCCTCATTTGGTACAGGAATAGGGCTTTTATTTTATTTTTTTAATGATTTGCGAATCTGGCAGCCTTCTGAGCCAGAGTAGGCTCAGAAACTCCTAGGAATGTGGCTTTAAGCCTAGGTGCGTCTGACACAAAATCAGGTGTTCTTCCTCAAATCTACAAGGCCTAAATACAAAGAGAGCAGTTTAGAACAGACTCTTAGATTCAACAGAGGGAACTGGGTGCGGGCATACAAATCAGAGAATTTAAAAGAAAAAGGCAAAAAGTCAAGGTACCACCTAAACACTGTCTACGCTGCCTCCACCCTCCTGCCAAACAGCATCCCTTGAGTTCAAGAATTCAGTTTCAGCTCAAGAACAAACTTTTTATGGGTGGATGCTGGCTGAGCCAAAGAGGAATTACTTCAACAATCATTTGTTGCATGACCTTTTTTGGTGTTTTGTTTTGAGAAGGAGTCTTGCTCTGTCGCCCAGGCTGGAGTGCAATGGCGCAATCTAGGCTCACTGCAACCTTCACCTCCCAGGTTCAAGCGATTCTCCTGCCTCAGCCTCCCCAGTAGCTGGGATTACAGGCACCTGCCACCACGTCCAGCTAATTTTTGTATATTTAGTAGAGTCAGGGTTTCACCATGTTGGCCAGGCTGGTCTCGAACTCCTGACCTCAGGTGATCCACCTGCCTCGGCCTCCCACAGTGCTGGGATTACAGGCGTGAGCCACCACACCCTCCCTATTGCATGATTTTTATTTGCAAAACAAAACCCACAACATAATTCCTGCAACCAAGAAGTTTATAGTCTAATGGGGAAACCAGATATTGAACACATAATAAGAAACTTCATCAGAATTGAAATGTAAGGAAAACGCACTAGTCTCCTGAAGGACGTAAAAAAGAAATCCAATTGGCAGGAAACAGTGGCATCTTCACGCGGACTTGGATAGGTGGGGAAGTGGGTGTAGGTACGAGGAAGTGGAAGGGAAGGCACCAGCCTTCAAGACGCTCCTAAGTGCTGTCGCTGAAGCTGTGGAGACTATAACTTAGTCTGAGAGAGACAAGAGAAAGAGAAGGCCCGGGCGCAGTGTTGAAGGGAAGTTTTGTTTAGAGCTGGACCTTGTCAGTCTGGAGGAGAGGTGAGGAATAAGGGGGACGGAGCGGTGGAAGATTAGAGTAGAATCATACTAACATAATAAATCACATCATTAAAATTAGTCCTAGGGTTAATTATATACTAAAGGTGAAATGGGCAAGGTCATCGATAGCACAAGCGGAGGGCGACTGCCTTGGCAAGAAGTTGGGATCAATCCTGAGAATGGAGGGGAGGGCGGGTGTGATTTTAAAGGACTGACATGGAGTGGAGGAAAGTTGAGGGCACTGGATCGTCTGGCTTTGTGGAAAGTGAAATCATATTTCAGGCCTGAAGGGCTGAGGCGGTTACTAGCTTTACAAGAGTTGGAAAAGCCTGGGAATGTGTCTGGAGCAACTGTGAGCACACTCAGCAGAGGAGGCAGGCGTGGGTAATAGCTACCAACAGCTCTGTTAGCCACGGGGCGGATGGGGCCCTGAGAGGTGCCACGGATGCACCCAGGGCAGCGCTCGGCACAGCTGGACCGGAGACGCACCACCCCTGGGAGCAGGTGGCAGCGCCCGCAGCCGAGAGAACGGGTGCGCGCGCGCGCTGCGGGATGCGGCGCGGGCGGGGCGCGGGGACGCGGAGCGAGTAGCGCCATGGGCAGCCGGGATTGGGGGGCGGGCCCGAGTGAGCGGGCCTCCGCGCGGCACTTGGCACGCACGCGCAAACTGGCCGCGGGGCTTGGAGGTACAGAGGAGGGGGAGCGAGAAAGAGGGGGGTGTGGAACGTATTTCCGCTCTGGCGGACAAATAATCCCGGCCAAAGAGGAGGCAAGGCCGTCCGGCCCTTTAACCGCGTGGGGGTGCTGGTGAAGAAAGGGGGGTCGGGAAGGGGGGATCCTGCTCCTTTAATTCCCTCCCCTCTTCCTCCTCCCCGAGTCCTAGCCGACGCCGCCGCCGCCGCGCGCGCGGGGCCTGGAACACACGGCACGAGCCGCCCCCGCCCCTCCCCCCTTACGCCCACGCGGAGCCGGCCCCGCGCGCGCGCGCGTCCCGTGCATCCCCGCGCCTGCGCGCTGCCCAGGCCCTGCCCGTGTGTGGGGGTCGCTGCCGACCCCGGGGGGGGGTGGGGAAAATAAGGGATTAAAAAAACAGCGCGCGGAACCGGGCCAGGTGAGAGGAGCGTGCACTCAGGGTCGTGGGGCTGGGGGGGCGTGCCACGGAGCTCTGAGCGTGGGGGCAGGGCGTGCACGGTGCGTGCTGGCGGCGGGGGGGAGGACGTGAAAAGCGCGTGCAAACGTGTAAGGGGGGGGCGGAGGAATGAGGCAGCCGGTAAAGGGGGCGGGGTGAGAAGAGCCTGCAACCGGGGCCACCTTGGAGTCCAGAGCCCCAGGCCTCTGGCCCCCCTTTTTCTCCGTCCTTCCACCGTGGGCGCGCGGGCTCGCCCCATCCTAGCGGGCTGCTGGGCTGGGGGGTGTGGACGCCGCTGCCCCGCCCCCGAGAACCACGCCTCCCTCCTCTCAGAGGGACAGCACCTCCCCAGGGTTGGGGAAACTGAGGAAGAAATCTGAAGACCGGGAGATCGGATGCCGGGGGGCTGGGCAAGAATGGGGGCGAGGGTCCTGGAGCCTTGGCTTCGGAGAGCCAGAGACCTTTGTCTCTGACCGGTTTCCTTCCCAACCAGGGTTGCCCACCCCCGCCACAATGGCCTCTGGGGTGGAAGTCCTGCGCTTCCAGCTGCCCGGCCACGAGGCCGCAACGCTACGGAACATGAACCAGCTCCGGGCAGAGGAGCGGTTCTGCGACGTGACCATTGTGGCCGACAGCCTCAAGTTTCGAGGCCACAAGGTCATCTTGGCCGCCTGCTCACCCTTCCTGCGGGACCAGTTCCTGCTGAACCCCAGCTCGGAGCTGCAGGTCTCCCTGATGCACAGTGCACGCATCGTGGCCGACTTGCTCCTCTCCTGCTACACGGGCGCCTTGGAATTCGCTGTTAGGGACATCGTCAACTACCTTACAGCCGCCTCCTACCTGCAGATGGAGCACGTGGTGGAGAAATGCCGGAATGCCCTCAGCCAGTTCATTGAGCCCAAAATAGGCCTCAAAGAGGATGGGGTCAGTGAGGCTAGCCTTGTGAGCAGCATCAGCGCCACCAAGTCCCTCCTCCCTCCAGCCAGGACCCCAAAGCCAGCCCCGAAGCCCCCACCCCCACCTCCTCTACCCCCTCCACTCCTGCGGCCAGTGAAGCTGGAGTTCCCACTGGATGAAGACTTGGAGCTGAAAGCCGAGGAAGAGGATGAGGATGAGGATGAGGACGTGTCTGACATCTGCATCGTCAAGGTGGAGTCGGCCCTGGAGGTGGCACACCGGCTCAAACCCCCTGGAGGCCTGGGAGGGGGTCTGGGCATTGGAGGCTCCGTGGGTGGCCACCTTGGGGAGCTGGCCCAGAGCAGCGTTCCCCCCAGCACTGTAGCCCCACCGCAGGGTGTGGTGAAGGCCTGCTATAGCCTGTCGGAAGATGCAGAAGGGGAGGGCCTGCTGTTGATTCCCGGAGGCCGGGCCAGCGTGGGGGCCACCTCGGGCCTGGTGGAAGCAGCAGCGGTGGCCATGGCTGCCCGGGGGGCGGGGGGCAGCCTGGGGGCGGGGGGCAGCCGGGGACCCCTGCCTGGGGGCTTCTCAGGTGGAAACCCCTTAAAGAACATCAAGTGCACCAAGTGCCCGGAAGTGTTCCAGGGCGTGGAGAAGCTGGTCTTCCACATGCGGGCGCAGCACTTCATCTTCATGTGCCCTCGCTGTGGCAAGCAGTTCAACCACAGCAGCAACCTCAACCGCCACATGAACGTGCATCGTGGTGTCAAGTCACACTCGTGCGGCATCTGCGGCAAGTGCTTCACACAGAAGTCCACCCTTCACGACCACCTCAACCTGCACTCGGGAGCGCGGCCCTACCGCTGCTCCTACTGCGACGTGCGCTTCGCCCACAAGCCTGCCATTAGGCGGCACCTCAAGGAGCAACACGGCAAGACCACGGCCGAGAACGTGCTGGAGGCCAGTGTGGCCGAGATTAACGTCCTCATCCGCTAGCCGCGCAGGCGTGGAGGCCAGGAGGCTGGGGCCCCTGGGCTGCGTGGAAAAAGGGCTCTTTGGCCCAGGAGAATTGGGGGGTGGGGGGTCTGGGGCAGAAAGGTAAGAGTGGGAGGCTGAGCAGATGCACACATCCTGAGAGAGGGAAGATGATTCCTTGGAGAGACTTGCTCTTGAGAGTGCAAGAATCTGGAGCTGGGAAAAGGGTTCTTGGAGGCCAGGGGAATACGGGGTCCCAGAGAAAGATTTCCTTCTCTTAGAAGTGCATGTATATGTGGAGGGAGGGAAAAGGGTCCTATAGAATGAGGGAAGACAAAAATGTTTTATTCCTGGCTAAGGCTGCCCAGGGGAAGGTTCTGACATTTCTCGAGATAAGAAGGGTTGGGGGGTGGGTGGGAACAGGGAGGGAATTTGGCAGGAGGACATGCTCCTGCTTAGAATAGACCTGGGGTGAGGGAGTGGTAAGGGGAAAAGATTACTGAGTCCCAGAAAAGGAAGTGGGAGACAGTTCTTGCATGCTGGGGAAATGAGACTGCGAGTATGAGGCTTGCTGAAATTTGAGGGAGAACAAAGTAAGACGCCAGGTAAGAGAACGTGGGGTGCGCATCCTGGGTAGATATTGGGAAGTGGGGGTACAATAGCAAGAAACAATGGATAGTCATGGGGGTGGGGGGGATAGGGCACTTAGAAAAGAAAGAACACAAGAAGGGCTGTTGGGAGGGAGGGAGAGGAGTAGAGACATACAGTATTTTTTAAGAAAAAACATATTTTTTAGGATTTTTTCTGGAGTTTGGGGTTTTAGTTTTTCTGCTTTTGTTTTCCACAAAATAAAAAACAAAAAAAAACTTTTTTTTTTTCCTTTACACTCTGGCAACTGCGTGTACATGACTATCCTGCCCTAGACAGCCTCTCCCTGTGATGCTGCGTTCTTAATACCTAGAGGTCACAACTCTGCATATCCCTTGCCTGAAGGAGCCCAGCCCTAAACATGGGAGAGGAGTGTGACAAGTGAGCTCCTCTGGTCAGGGACTCCCCCAAGTCCCCACCCCCAGCCCTCCACCAGTTCTGCAATCTCAACACTTAGCCAGGTACCTCACAGTACAAGTGATTGGCAGTCGTGGGGATGCACATGAACTCTATTTGAGGGACTTAGGATCAGTGCTAGGGATGAGCTACAGGTGGCCAACCTGCCCACGGAAATTGTAAGCAGGAGTCTGTTTGGTCATATTTTGTCTGGGGTAAATAGGTCATGTCTTCAGGAAAGCTAAAAAAAAAAAAAAAAAAAGCTAAGTTTGGATTAAGGTGCAGGGAAAACTACAATTCCCAGAAAGCTCTGGAATAGTTAACCAAAGAGAACTACAGTTCCCAGAAGGCCTTTAATTGGCCTCAGGTGCCCCACCTGCCTGTGTCAAATACTGCGTGTGAAATCATACAGATCTTTTCCAAACTCGACCAAAACGTAATACCTAAAGGGATGGTACCCTAAATACAGCTATCGAGATTGTCTATCTTGGTGTATATCATTTATACTTAAATTGTCCGCTGGGCTATGACCCACGGAGTACCTGACTGTGCTTATGAAGTGTTCGGCAAAAAAGGTTTACTTACTGCAGTGTCACCAGTCAGTAATGACGTTCGGGCCGCTGGGCTTACCTGGATCCCTAGTGCGTGTGAAGGTGTAACACGCCTGATATAAACAGAAGAGACATTTAGCCACAGGTTTTCAGAAGGGCACGCTGCTCCAGGGGACATGAAGCAGCATGCTAGAACCAGCCAAGAATAAAGGTGTCCTCCGCGTCCCTATCGCCCCTTCGTGCTCGTTAGAAAGAGCAAAAAGGCGAGGCCAAAACTGAGGCCAAGCCTTCTATCTGGTAACCCAAAAACTAGAAAGGCAGAAAAGCAACCAGAGGCGGGAAAAGCCCAACCAGGCCAGAGGAAATACAGCCGCTGCCGAGAGCCGAGAAGTTCAGAAGCTCCGCTTGTTACCTAAAACCAGATGGGGACAGAGACGCCACACCTGGGCCCAGGCGTGTCTCGCCCTCGGTCCCTGCAGAACTGAGGCCAGGAATGACAGGAATTCTCCCTTGCAGCTCCCAGCTTAGGACAGTCACAGCCATCTCCGAGGCCGCTCTCAGGGGAAAATGGCCAAAAAGCATGTAGCGGCTCCTTTAAGGCTCCTCCTCGCCCTCCCTCCCTCGCCCACGTGACCCGGGGCGGCCGCGCGCCGGCTCGGCCCCCAGCGCAAGCGGCGATGGCGGCGGCGGCGGGAGCTGCAGCGGCGGCGGCCGCCGAGGTGCGGAAGGGGAGGGGGAGAGGCGGGTGCATGCCCGCGCGCGCGCCCGGGGGAAGCGCGCGCCCGTGCAATGCTCCGGGGGTGCAACGGGGCCGGGGGGCCCGGGCGGGACTTGCAGCAATCCAGGGGGCCAGCACCGGGGGCGGATGAGGGGACCAGGGTGTGGGAGGTGGGGGGAGTGGGCACGGAGGCGCGCGTGCAGCCGCCGGCTGCCCCTGAGTGGGCGACGGGCGCCGGGGCCCCAGGAGCACGCGTGAGGGGCACGAGGGGCCGTCCACCGGGCTGGGGGGCAGCGGGTGCTGGAGGGGTTGGTGCCCGGGGTCCCCGCGGCCTGGGGGACAAAGGGGGAGCGGCGCGTGCAGCCGGGAGGAGGGGGCGGGGCCGGGGCGCGGAGGCCCCGCCCCCTCCCCCTCCTCTTCTCTCGGCCCCAGAGATGCGGGGTCTACCGAGAGGGAGGGGGTTGATGCGGGCCCGGGGGAGGGGTCGTGCGGCCCCTCCGGGCAGCCGAGGCCGCGGAAGGGGGGGGCCCCACAGAGGAAGAGGTAGGCCCCGGAGCCTACTCTCTCTTCCCAGGGCCCAGGCATCCTGGACCCCCCAACTCTCTACTGGGCTGACCAGCCCTCCTGTCCCTTGTCTCCCCTCCCAGGGGGAGGCCCCCGCTGAGATGGGGGCGCTGCTGCTGGAGAAGGAAACCAGAGGAGCCACCGAGAGAGGTGAGTGCAGCTAAAACGGGCCCCAGTTGGACCGTCACCTTCCCTAAACACAGGATCTCCTGAGCCCTTAGCTCTGAACTTTTTCTCTTCCTCTACAGTTCATGGCTCTTTGGGGGACACCCCTCGTAGTGAAGAAACCCTGCCCAAGGCCAACCCCGACTCCCTGGAGCCTGCTGGCCCCTCATCTCCAGCCTCTGTCACTGTCACTGTTGGTGATGAGGGGGCTGACACCCCTGTAGGGGCTACACCACTCATTGGGGATGAATCTGAGAATCTTGAGGGAGATGGGGACCTCCGTGGGGGCCGGATCCTGCTGGGTGAGAGGCTGGGTAGCCTGGGGGGTTGGTGGGAAATTTCTGACTCTTGCCTTCTTTCTTATCTTGCCTTTTGCTTGCTTGTTTTCTAGGCCATGCCACAAAGTCATTCCCCTCTTCCCCCAGCAAGGGGGGTTCCTGTCCTAGCCGGGCCAAGATGTCAATGACAGGGGCGGGAAAATCACCTCCATCTGTCCAGAGTTTGGCTATGAGGCTACTGAGTATGCCAGGAGCCCAGGGAGCTGCAGCAGCAGGGTCTGAACCCCCTCCAGCCACCACGAGCCCAGAGGGACAGCCCAAGGTCCACCGAGCCCGCAAAACCATGTCCAAACCAGGAAATGGACAGGTGAGTGGGATGGGAGAGATGGGATAATCAACCATAAACCTTTGGTGAGCTCTTTTACAGTTTCACTTAAGGCTTCTACTCCATTTACTCATTCACATATTTAAGCAAGGGGCTGCTGTGTGTCAAATATTAGGCTGTGCTTGATCTGTGAACCAACAGACAGGTTCCTCTCTTCCTGCAGTTTACATTCTTGGGTGGTGAAAGTTTGATGTTAAAGAGTCAATTATATAGTTAATGTCTTAATTACTCTTATGATAATGACAAGGTAAGGGAATTTCAAACCACTCTTCCTTTCTACCTCAAAGCAAGCCCTTGGGGAACTCATCTGTCACTGCTCTATTTGTAAAGTTTTTCCTGGGAATCCCAGTGGGAAAGGAGATGAGGGCCACAGAAATAATAGAGGAGGGAAGTGACAAGGGCACCAGAAGCTTTATGACCAAGTTCTAGGGTTCTTGGGTCATACCTATTGTTGACCTAAAGGAAAAAACTGAGGCAAACTTAACATTAAGTAAAGTATATTTGGTCAGGTTTTGAGGACAGCCTTTAGGAGCAAAGATTCAAGTTGCCGTGAAAATACACTCTGATTAGCAGCAGTTATAAGTAGGGTTTTTTTTGTTTGTTTTGTTTTGTTTTTGAAGACAGTTTCACTATGTTGCCCAGGCTGGTCTCAAACTGCTGGGCTTCAGCAATCTTCCTGCCTTGACCTCGCAAAGTGCTGGGATTACAGGTGCAAGCCACCACAACCAGCCCACAAGTAGGTTTTTAAAGGAAAAGAAGATTGGATGACGTGAAGATATTGAAAAAAAACAGGCTGACTCTGGGCACACTGCGTAGGAGTTAGCCCTGCTCTGGAAGGAGCCGCAAAAAGAAAAAAAAAAAGATAAAAATTTTTTAAAAGATTGAAGAAATAACAAAGGAAAAGAAGAGGCAGTTCCTAAATTGTTTACCAGTTTACATTAGAATAACAAGCTATTGATCTGCTATACATTGTTCTTTGTCTCACAGATATTAGGCACATGAAGATAATGGGTGAAGCAGCACCCTAGTCAGGTACAAAATGCCTTTAAGCAGTTGCCTCCAGGCATGGGCCCTAACCGTTCCATGCTGACTTCTCGCTGAGCCTGATCAATTTTGCCTGCTTCACATAGCACAGGTTGCTATGAGCTACCTTTCCTTTCTCACTATGATAAACATTAATTTTTATAGTTGCAATTCATTTTGTAAAGAATAGGGAAGAAAAGGAAAATTGAATTTATAAATTAGGTACAGTGAGAGATTAACAACAATAATAACATAATAGCGTAATCCTAACAGTAGGCCAGGCGTGGCTTGCCTATAATCTCAACACTTTCAGAGGCCAAGGCCGGCAATCACTTGAGGTCAGGAGTTCGAGACCAGCCTGGTAAACATGTCCAAACCCCGTCTCTAACTAAAATAATAATAATAATAATAATAAATTAGCCAGGTGTGGTGGCGTGCGCCTGTAATCCCAGCTAGTCGAGAGGCTGAGGCAGGAGAATCACTTGCAGTGAGCCAAGATCGCGCCACTGCGGTTCAGCCTGGGCAACAGAGCGAGACTCAAAAAAAATAGCACAATTCTAACAATATGCCACCATCACTGCTGATGAACTGGATAAGAGGGGACTAGTGTCACGTAAAATTTACCATCTAAAAAACAATTTTAGGCCAGGCGCAGTGGCTCACGCCTGTAATCTCAGCATTTTGGAGGCCGAGGCGGGAGGATCACCTGAGGTCAGGAGTTTGAGACCAGCCTGGCCAACATAGTGAAACCCTGTCTCTACTAAAAATACAAAAATTAGGCCAGGCGGGGTGCCTCACGCATGTAATCCCAGCACTTTGGGAGGCCAAGGCAGGTGGATCACCTGAGGTCAGGAGTTCGAGACCAGCCGGACGAACATGGTGAAACCCCATCTCTATTAAAAATACAAAATTAGCCGGGCATGGTGGTACATGCCTGTAACAGTCCGCTACTTGGGAGGCTGAGGCAGGAGAATCGCTTGAATCCAGGAGGCAGAGGTTGTAGTTAGCCGAGATCCTGCCATTGCACTCCAGCCTGGACAACAAGAGCAAAACTCTGTCTCAAAAAAAAAAACAAAACAAAAATTAGCCGGGCGTGGTGGCATGTGCCTGTAGTTCCAGCTACTCAGGAGGCAGAGGTGAGAGAAACGCTTGAACCTGGGAGGTAGAGGCTGCAGTGAACTGAGATTGCGCCACTGCACTCCAGCTTGGGCAACAGAGTGAGACTCCATCTAAAAATTTAAAAATAAAATAAAAAACATTTTTAAGTATATAATTTAATGGTATTAAATACTTTCATCATGTGCAATCATCAGTCACCATAACTCATCTTGTAAAACTGAAACTCTGTACCCATTAAAACATAACTCTCCATTCCCTCCACCCCCTAGCCCCTGGCAAGGACCACTGTCCTTTCTTTCTCTATAAATTTGAGTAAGTACTTTATCTAAGTGTAATCATACAGTATTTATCCTTTTGTGACTGGCTTATTTCACTTAGCATAATGTCCTCAAGGTTCATCTATGTTGTACCATGTCAGAATTTCTTTCCTTTCACCTGGGCAGCATACCAAGACCCCATCTCTAAAAGAAGTTTAAAAGAATGTTTCAAAGGCCAGGCCCAGTGACTCACGCCTGTAATCCCGTACTTTCTGGGGAGGATCACTTGACACCAGGAGTTCAAGACCAGCCTGGGCAACATGGCAAGACCTCTTCTCTACCAAAAAAAAAAATTAAGAAGACATTAGTTAGGCATTGTGACATGTGCCTGTAATCCCAGCTTCCCAGGAAGCTGAGGCAGGAGAATGGCTTGAGTCCAGTTCGAGGCTGAAGTGAGCCATAGTCATGCCACTGCACTCCATCCAGGGTAACAGAATGAGACCTTATCTCTTAAAAAAAGTATATCTTTCCTTTTTATGGCTGAATGTTATTCCATTGTGTATAAATGCCACATTTTGCTTATCCATTCATCTGTCAGTGGCACTTGAGTTGCTTCCGCACCTCAGCTGTTGTAAACAGTCCTGCTGTGTATATGGCCACATATAAAAGGTCTTTTAACTTTATTAAGCTTTGTTTTCTCATCTGTAAAATGGAAAAGGGCCTGCTCTGCATGGTTGCAGAGATGAGTGAGTGTTAGTGTGCTTGACACTCTTCCTCTGAGGAAATAGCACCCGTGGTTGCCAGTTTGTGGCTACTGGAGCCTCACATGGCATTTGGAGGTGTGGCTCACTACCCCACCCCCGCCTGGGGCTCCAGGCTAACCCAGGCAAAACTGTAGGTGCTCTCTGACCCTCAGTGTGCTCCCTCTCGGCCCACAGCCCCCGGTCCCTGAGAAGCGGCCCCCTGAAATACAGCATTTCCGCATGAGTGATGATGTCCACTCACTGGGAAAGGTGACCTCAGGTCAGTCCCATCCCCCACCCCCGGTGGCTTGATGTGGTCTGTTCTGAAGGTTTCGGTGATAGGCCCCACACCATTCTCTCTCTTCTTCCAGATCTGGCCAAAAGGAGGAAGCTGAACTCAGGAGGTGGCCTGGTAAGCAGCAGAGGCAGAGCCTCTACCCCTCGGGGGCTGCTCTGAGGGAGGGTCAGAGGTGGGGCTGCATCCCATCCTCAGTAGAAATGCGCAGGGTGTCAGTGGCCTCAATTTTTCTGATCTTTTTCTAGTCGGAGGAGTTAGGTTCTGCCCGGCGTTCAGGAGAAGTGACCCTGACGAAAGGGGACCCCGGGTCCCTGGAGGAGTGGGAGACGGTGGTGGGTGATGACTTCAGTCTCTACTATGATTCCTACTCTGTGGATGAGCGCGTGGACTCCGACAGCAAGGTGAGACAGAGCTGGTCTGCCCTCCCCGCCGGTGCTCCCCCAGGGCTGGGGCTCACTGTCCAGTCCTCCTTGTTCCCTGTTTTTCTGCTTTCTGTCCTTTTTATCTTCTGAATATCCACTAAGTCATTGCCCCATGCTGTCTATAACTCCTTTTTTTTGTGGGGGGAGACGGAATCTCATTCTGTCGCCCAGGCTGGAGCGCAATATCACGATCTGGGCTCACTGCAACCTCTGTCTCCAGGGTTAAAGCAATTCTCCTGCCTCAGCCTCCCGAGTAGCTGGGATTACAGGCACCTGCCACCACGCCCGGCTAATTTTTGTATTTTTAGTAGAGACGGGGTTTCCCTGTGTTGGCCAGGCTGGTCTCTAACTCCTGACCTTAGTTGATCCACCCACCTTGGCCTCCCAAAGTGCTGGGATTACAGCTGTGAGCCACCGCGCCCAGCTGTAACTCATTTTCAATGTGTATTCTGCCCGTTTCATCCACAAAGGTGGCCACCACCCTGCACATGGGATTTAGTATTCTTTTTTTTTTAATCAGCTAATGAAATGACCATTTAACAGACATGTACTGTTTAAAAAAAGAAAACAAAAAAAGAAATGACCAGAAAGCACTTTTTTAAAACATACGTTATGCTGTTTATATAAAATTCAAAAGCATTGCATTGTCATTTATTTGCTTATTTCGTTGCTCTTTGTCTGGTTTTATCTTATATGTTTGCCTACACAGTAGAATGTTTAGTCTCTCTGATTTTGCCTTTTATTTAACATTTTATCATGAAAACTTGCAAGCATAATCAAAAGAGTAGAATAGGGAGCCCCCATGTACCCAATACACAGCTCCAGCCATTATCAGTACACAGTCCATCTTGACCCATCTGTACATCTCCCAGCACACACACCTACTAGGTTATTTTAAAGCAAATCCCAGACCTCATATCATTTTACCTAAACATATATCCATATAGATTTGTAAATATAAGGCCTCTTTTTGTCGTTCAACATCATTACACTACTGTTTTCACACCTAAAAAAACTTACCGATTTCTTAATACCATCAAATATCCTGTCAGTCTTCACATTTCCTCAGCTCTCACAAATGGTTTTTGTCAAGATCCAAATGAGGCCCACACCTTGATTTGATTAACATTTGTCTTAGGTCAGCCAGGCACAGTGGCTCACGCCTGTAATCCCAATACTTTGGGAGGCCAAGGCGGGCAGATCACGTGAGGTTGGGAGTTCGAGACCAGCCTGATCAACATGGAGAAACCCCGTCTCTACTGAAAAAAATACAAAATTAGCTGGACGTAGTGGTACGTGCCTGTAATTCCAGCTACTCGGGAGGCTGAGGCAGGAGAATCGCTTGAACCTGGGAGGTGGAGGTTGCAGTGAGCCAAGATCGTACCATTGCACTCCAGCCTCGGCAACAAGAGCGAAACTCCGTCTCAAAAAAAAAAAAATTTTTTTTTGTCTTAGGTCTCTCTCAGTATTTAGGTTTCCCCATCTTCTTTGTGTTTGTTTGTTTGTTTGTTTGTTTTTGTTTTTTGAGATGGAGTCTCACACTGTCACCCAGGCTGGAGTGCAGTGGCGTGATCTTGGCTCACTGCAAGCTCCACCTCCTGAGTTCAAGCAATTCTCCTGCCTCAGTCTCCCAAGTGGCTGGGATTACAGGCACCCACCACCATGCCCAGCTAATTTTTTGTATTTTTAGTAGAGGCAGGGTTTCACTATGTTGGCCAGGCTGGTCTCAAACTCCTGATCTCGTGATCTGCCCACCTCGGCCTCCCAAAGCGCTGGGATTACAGGCGTGAGCCACCACACCTGGCCTGATTTCCTCATCTTCTAAAAAAAAATTTTTTGGCCCAGGCGTGGTGGCTCACGCCTGTAATCCCAGCACTTTGGGAGGCAGGTGGATCACCTGAGGTCAGGAGTTTGAGACCAGCCTAGCCAACATGGTGAAAACACATCTCTAATAAAAATACGAAAATTAGCTGGGTGTGGTGGCGGGTGCCTATAATCCCAGCTACTCAGGAGGCTGAGGCAAGAGAATTGCTTGAATCCAGGAGGTGGAGGTTGCAGTGAGCTGAGATCACACCATTGCAATGCAGCCTGGGCAACAAGAGCAAAACTCAATAAATAAATAAGAAAGATTTTTTTTTTTTGCCATTTATTTGTCAAAGAAACCAGCTCAGTTGTCCTACAGAATTTTTCACATTTAGGAGTTGGCTGATTGGGTGGAGATTGACACATCCTCTCTGCCCATATTTCTTGTAAACTGATAGATCTAGAGGCGGAATCAGCTTCAGGTGCCAAGAAGACTTGACAGTGGGTGCAAGTGCTTCTGGCCACATCACATCAGGATGCATGGAACATCTAATCTGGTCATTTTTCTTGTTAGTGATAAGATTGACCAGTGGGTTCAGGTGATGTCAGCCTGAACCTTTCATATAAAGTTTCTCATGAGCTTTGTGTCTAGTGTTTTTAGCAACCATTGGTGGTCTTGCCTGTTTATGAACATCATAAAAGGGGTATCAAAGTATGTTTATCTTCTGGTACTTGCTTTTTGTTTTTTAACTTAATATCACATTACCAAGATCTGTGCACATTGCTGTCTGTAACTTTTTCACTGCTGTGTAATATTCCATGCACCCTCTCTTTATGTGGCCCTTTGTCTCCTCTGCTACCCACACTTATCCCCAGCAGCCATCCGTGGGTAGTGGCGGGGGGCAATGGTGGTGGTGGTTTTCTTTACTCACCTCATTGTCTGAGTCCTGGGGGTTGGATATGTCTGTTCTGCCTCTCTCCCAGTCTGAAGTTGAAGCTCTAACTGAACAACTAAGTGAAGAGGAGGAGGAGGAAGAGGAGGAAGAAGAAGAAGAGGAAGAGGAGGAGGAAGAGGAAGAAGAAGAGGAAGATGAGGAGTCAGGGAATCAGTCAGATAGGGTAAGAGACGGAGGCTGATATCTCCAGAGGAGTGGGAGACTATGGGGCTGGAGGTCTGGTCCTGAAGGTGTTGGGGGGGCCCCTGGGGGTGAGGGTTCCTAACTCCTCCTCCTCCCCCTTCCCAGAGTGGTTCCAGTGGCCGGCGCAAGGCCAAGAAGAAATGGCGAAAAGACAGCCCATGGGTGAAGCCGTCTCGGAAACGGCGCAAGCGGGAGCCTCCGCGGGCCAAGGAGCCACGAGGTGAGGAGGCTCTGCTGCTTTTGGGTGCCCTCCAGCCCCCGCCCGGCCCCCCAGAGTGTGTGCACGCACACACACGCTCTCGCATGTCCACCTGCATGTACCCACGCGTCCAGGCACCTGTGAGCTCGCACTCTCACTCTCTCTGTCTCTGTGTCAGGAGTGAATGGTGTGGGCTCCTCAGGCCCCAGTGAGTACATGGAGGTCCCTCTGGGGTCCCTGGAGCTGCCCAGCGAGGGGACCCTCTCCCCCAACCACGCTGGTAATTGCCAATTGCCGGGACAGGGAGCCACTAGGGGGCGACCTCAGGGCAGGAGGGAAAGGGAAGGAGGGGAACCACGCCAGAGCCGGGGTGTCCATGGCCAGGCTTTAGGGGTTCTGGGGCATGGCGGGGTGGGGTAGGGAGGGAGTGAGAGGACCCGCCAGGGGTCCCAGTAGGTGAGGTGCAGAGCCTCCCTCAGCTCCTCTTTTCCTCCATCCAAGGGGTGTCCAATGACACATCTTCGCTGGAGACAGAGCGAGGGTTTGAGGAGTTGCCCCTGTGCAGCTGCCGCATGGAGGCACCCAAGATTGACCGCATCAGCGAGAGGGCGGGGCACAAGTGCATGGCCACTGAGAGTGTGGACGGAGAGGTGGGGCCGTGGGCTGGTGGGAGAGGTGCCAGGGCGTCCAGTCCCCGGCCCCAGCCTCACGCTCTCTTCTCACCCATCCTCACTGCGCACAGCTGTCAGGCTGCAATGCCGCCATCCTCAAGCGGGAGACCATGAGGCCATCCAGCCGTGTGGCCCTGATGGTGCTCTGTGAGACCCACCGCGCCCGCATGGTCAAACACCACTGCTGCCCGGGCTGCGGCTACTTCTGCACGGCGGTGAGTGACCAGTGGGGCAGACAGGTAGCATGCCCTGTGGCAGAGGGGGCCCCAGTAACCTGACCATGTTGTTTCCCTGCTCCCAGGGCACCTTCCTGGAGTGCCACCCTGACTTCCGTGTGGCCCACCGCTTCCACAAGGCCTGTGTGTCTCAGCTGAATGGGATGGTCTTCTGTCCCCACTGTGGGGAGGATGCTTCTGAAGCTCAAGAGGTGACCATCCCCCGGGGTGACGGGGTGACCCCACCGGCCGGCACTGCAGCTCCTGCACCCCCACCCCTGTCCCAGGATGTCCCCGGGAGAGCAGACACTTCTCAGCCCAGGTACTGGCCTCCCCCTTCTGTACTGTCTGTTCCCTCCCCCACCCCTATTGCTCCTGGACATGAGCTCCTTCTTCCACAGTGCCCGGATGCGAGGGCATGGGGAACCCCGGCGCCCGCCCTGCGATCCCCTGGCTGACACCATTGACAGCTCAGGGCCCTCCCTGACCCTGCCCAATGGGGGCTGCCTTTCAGCCGTGGGGCTGCCACTGGGGCCAGGCCGGGAGGCCCTGGAAAAGGCCCTGGTCATCCAGGAGTCAGAGAGGTGAGTGGGGAGTTGCTCAGGCACAGCAACTGGGGCTGAGGCCAGAGGAGTGGTGTCGAGGCTGATGCTGGAATCTGAGGAGCTCCCCTTCTCTCCCCGCTCCCGTGCTCCCTTGGCAGGCGGAAGAAGCTCCGTTTCCACCCTCGGCAGTTGTACCTGTCCGTGAAGCAGGGCGAGCTGCAGAAGGTGATCCTGATGCTGTGTGAGTGCCACCCATTCCTTCAGCAGACCTTGACCAAGCTTCATGTATATACCAGGCACTGGGTACAGGGCCAGGAGTACAGTCGTGAAGGACACAGTCCTTGCCCTGAAGGACTTAGTGTGGTGGGGAAAAGACACATGTAACCCATAACGATGGGGATGTGGTGACTCATAGGTGCTGGGTCCTGTTCTGAGTGCTTATACCTGTTAGCCTTGGCTTGCACAGAGAGGTTAGGGACCTTGCACAGTGCACAGTGGTACTGAGAAGCAAGGCAGGGTTTGAATTCAGGCAGAGCTGATGCCTTTGACTCCTTATTCTGATAAATGCTGTGGTGGAGGCAAGCTCGGAGAATGCCAGGAGGGGCCCTGATCCAGCTTGGGGCCCTGAGAAGCCTTCCTGAAAGAAGTGCCACCTGCCCCCTAGCTTGCTTACCACTTGTCCCTCCCTCTCCCGGTGTGGCGGGCTCTCCCCGCAGTGGACAACCTGGACCCCAACTTCCAGAGCGACCAGCAGAGCAAGCGCACGCCCCTGCATGCAGCCGCCCAGAAGGGCTCCGTGGAGATCTGCCATGTGCTGCTGCAGGTCAGCACGGGCCCGGCCCCATGCCTCATTCACCAGGCCCTTAGGCCCCTCCCCTGCCCCATGCCTCCCTGGTGCCAGCCCTCCTGCCCCCTCACAGGCTGGAGCCAACATAAATGCAGTGGACAAACAGCAGCGGACGCCACTGATGGAGGCCGTGGTGAACAACCACCTGGAGGTAGCCCGTTACATGGTGCAGCGTGGTGGCTGTGTCTATAGCAAGGTGTGCGCGCAGGCAGCAGGGCGTGGCCCCCGGAGTCAGGGACCAGGTTTGGGGTGCCAGCCCAAAGGCTCATTTGCCCGTGTCTCCCTCAGGAGGAGGACGGTTCCACCTGCCTCCACCACGCAGCCAAAATCGGGAACTTGGAGATGGTCAGCCTGCTGCTGAGCACAGGACAGGTGGACGTCAACGCCCAGGTCAGCGGCCCACCCAGCCCAGCCCCTCTGGGTCCCTGGTGCCTGGGTTCCTTGGCTTGGCCTCAGGCTTTGGGCCGCCTTTCCTACATCTGACCTCACACTGCTCGTGTCTGTCCTCATTGCTTTCTTCTTCCTCATTTGTATTTCTCTTCATTCTTTTCTTTCTCGTTTCTTTCTCTTTATCAAGTTTCAGAATAATCAGTTCCTGTCTTAATCTCTGAAAGTGTCCAGTGAGGCTTTTTATTAACTCTTGGGTTGTCATACATTGGATGTGTTTTAGTCATTTATTGGCATTCTTCTCAGTCTTTGAATTATTCCATCATTGTCCAGAAGAAGCCCCTTTAAGAGGCCTCTGTGGCTGTGACATGACCCAGTGGCCCAGTGGCCTTTGAGAGCCTCCTGACCTTTCAGCACATTTCCTGCCCCCAACTCAGAATCCACCATTTCTCTAAGAAACTCTGCTTCCTTTATGGGAAACTTTTTTTTTTTTTTTTGAGACGGAGTCTCACTCTGTTGCCCAGGCTGGAGTGCAATGGCGTGATCACAGCTTACTGCAAGCTCCGCCTCCCAGGTTCACGCCATTCTCCTGCCTCAGCCTCCCGAGTAGCTGGGATTACAGGCGCCCACCACCATGCCCGGCTAATTTTTGTATTTTTAGTAGAGACGGGGTTTCACCATATTGGCCAGGCTGATCTTGAACTCCTGACCTCGTGAGCCACAGCGCCCGGCCAGAAGCATTTTTTAGAGAATACAATCTATGTTCCTAGGAGTGTTTATTGTTATTGGGTTGTCGCTGCTTCTAGGACTTTTGAGTGGGCAGACTTAGGAAATTTTTGTTCGTTTTTTCTTTTAAGAGACAGGGTCTTGCTATGTCACCCAGGCTGAAGTACAGTAGCAGTTCACAGACAGTCATAGCTCTCTGCAGCCTCGAAATCCTGGGCTCAAGCAACCCTCCCATCTCAGTCACATGAGTAGCTGGGACTACAGGCATGCACCTCCATGACCAGCTCCTGGCTGTATTTTTTGGAAAGAGAACAATTACTTTATTTTCTCTCTGGCATCAGATGGTAGACGCTACTAGTCCCATTTTTGTTTGTTTGTTTTTTGAGACGGAGTCTTGCTCTGTCGCCCAGGCTGGAGTGCAGTGGCACGATCTTGGCTCACTGCAAGCTCCGCCTCCCGGGTTCACGCCATTCTGCCTCAGCCTCCCTAGTAGCTGGGACTACAGGCGCCTGCCACCACGCCCAGCTAATTTTTTCTATTTTTTAGTAGAGACAGGGTTTCACCGTGTTGGCCACAATGGCCTCCATCTCCTGACCTCGTGATCCGCCCGCCTCGGCCTCCCAAAGTGCTGGGATTACAGGCATGAGCCACCGCGCCCGACCCTACTAGTCCCATTTTTTAGATGAAGAAACTGCGACCCAGAGACGTTAAGTGACTTACCCAGGGTCCCACAGCTTGTGAATGGTGGAGCTGGGATTCACACACACAGCCAATCTTGACCATTTGCTGCTTTGGTGAGCAGGGCCAGCTGCCCCCACCCTCACTCCCTTCCCACCCACAGGACAGTGGGGGGTGGACGCCCATCATCTGGGCTGCAGAGCACAAGCACATCGAGGTGATCCGCATGCTACTGACGCGGGGCGCCGACGTCACCCTCACTGACAACGTGAGTGAGCGTTTGGTTGAGGTAGGGCAGCCCCAGGCCCCTGAGCAAGGTGGAGGCTGGATTCAAGGGCCCAGCTGCCTGCACCTCATCTGTTCCCCTCCTACCTCCACAGGAGGAGAACATCTGCCTGCACTGGGCCTCCTTCACGGGCAGCGCCGCCATCGCCGAAGTCCTTCTGAATGCGCGCTGTGACCTCCATGCTGTCAACTACCATGGGGACACCCCCCTGCACATCGCAGCTCGGGAGAGCTACCATGACTGCGTGCTGTGAGCCCCTGCCCCGCCCTTGATGCCCCTGCCCCCACTTCTTGCAGCCTCAGACCCTGCATTGGGCATCCTGTCCCCTCTTCAGGTTATTCCTGTCACGTGGGGCCAACCCTGAGCTGCG
Organism: Homo sapiens; assembly: GCF_000001405.40. Classification (NCBI taxonomy): domain Eukaryota; kingdom Metazoa; phylum Chordata; class Mammalia; order Primates; family Hominidae; genus Homo; species Homo sapiens. The sequence continues at coordinate 3,226,588 of NT_167247.2, read as the reverse complement.
GAACAAAGAGGGGGACACAGCATGGGACCTGACTCCCGAGCGCTCCGACGTGTGGTTTGCGCTTCAACTCAACCGCAAGCTCCGACTTGGGGTGGGAAATCGGGCCATCCGCACAGAGAAGATCATCTGCCGGTGAGCCCTGGGCCCCTCTCTGCACCCAAGACCACCTCCTCCCCACCCATACCCTCCCCAGGCTCCATTGCATCCTCACAACATTCCCCAACCCCTCCCCATGCACCACTGAATCCCCAGAACCACCCACAGGCCCCCTCCCCACTAGGGTTGCCAGATACAGCAAATAAAAATAGAAGACACCCAGTTAAACTGGAATTTCAGATGCACAGATGCATACTTTTTTAGTGTGAGAATGTCCTGTGTAATTTTTGGGACATACTAAAAAGCTATTTCTTGTTTATCTAAAATTCTATGTTAACTCGCTGTCCTGCATCTTACCTGGCAACCTTACTCCCCTGCCCCCAGCCCCAGGAACCTCCCCAACTCTCTTCCTTATACCTGGAGTAGCTCCTCACCCCCTTTTCCAGCTTCCCAGCCCCTTCTTCCCGTCTTCTGCAGGGACGTGGCTCGGGGCTATGAGAACGTGCCCATTCCCTGTGTCAACGGTGTGGATGGGGAGCCCTGCCCTGAGGATTACAAGTACATCTCAGAGAACTGCGAGACGTCCACCATGAACATCGATCGCAACATCACCCACCTGCAGGTGAGTAGGGGGCCCGGGGCCTCCCCAAAAGGACACCGAGAGCTGCCAAGTACAGTTGGACAAGCTTCAAACCAGCAAAGGCACCTGGCCAAGGAAGGGTTGGCTGAAAGGGATCCCTGGTGTGGGGTCGCATCCCCACCAGGGGAGGGATCCTTTTCCTAGGTCACAGCAAGGTATCATATGAGCTCCCAGTAGCCCTGGGGACACCACCATACTGATTACCCGTCACCCTAGGACCATCACCACCCACTGTTGTAACACATGGACCCCAAAGAAAGGACAGTGGTTAGGGGGTCAGGGGGCATCAAGAGTAGAGGGGCCCAGACCGATCATGGGGTTGAGCTGACCTCTGCCTCCTCGCCCCAGCACTGCACGTGTGTGGACGACTGCTCTAGCTCCAACTGCCTGTGCGGCCAGCTCAGCATCCGGTGCTGGTATGACAAGGTGCGTGCCCCTTGCCTTGGCCACAGACACCCGGCCCCTCCTTCAGAGGAGCCAGCCTCCAATAAACCAGCTCCCTGGGACCATGTCCCTCACCTCCTACCCTGTGGGGGAAGTGACTGAGAGGACTGGGCAAGGCCTGGGAATCCTGGGATGTGGCTGGGACAGCGATGGGCGTGTGCCCAGGTCTATGCAAACCAGGGATGATGCTCCTGCATTTCGTGCTCTCGGATCTCAGAGCCTGTGTGACCTCCCCAACCCCAACTTCCCTGTCTCTGTAGAGTCTTGGGGTTCCTGGGTGGGCAGCTGAGGTGGGCCCCACAGAGAAACCACTATCCTCCCCTCCGCACCCTAGGATGGGCGATTGCTCCAGGAATTTAACAAGATTGAGCCTCCGCTGATTTTCGAGTGTAACCAGGCGTGCTCATGCTGGAGAAACTGCAAGAACCGGGTCGTACAGAGTGGCATCAAGTGAGGCCCTGCTCCACAGCCCACCCTCTCCCCACCTCACCCTTTCCTCCCTGCCCCTGGGGCTTTTCCAGGGCCTCCACCCAACAGCGCCATCTCTCCTACCCCCAGGGTGCGGCTACAGCTCTACCGAACAGCCAAGATGGGCTGGGGGGTCCGCGCCCTGCAGACCATCCCACAGGGGACCTTCATCTGCGAGTAAGTCACCGGGAGCACCTTAACACCTGGTGGGAAGGGGATACATGGCCACTGCTGACTGCCAGGCCTCCCTCTCAGCCATCTGCCCTGATGAGTCACATGTCTCCATCTGGCCACTCTCCAGCCAGCCTCCTCTGACCCCTATTCCTGCAGCTGAGCAGCCAGCCGCCTCTGACCCCCATCCCCCCAGCTGAGAATGGCACCTGCCTCCACTCTGCCCAGACCACAGAGCTTGTCTTCCCTCCCCTCCACCTCCACCCTCTACCTTCCCCTCCACCCCCTCCTCGCCCTTCCTAGCTGGAGAAAGTGCCAGTTTGGGAGACAAACAGACTTGGGTTTGAGCCCCTCTCTGCTTCTGGATGTTCTTGGCCAAGTTACTTAACCTCTTTGAGCCTTATTTTTCTTGTCTGTAGAGTGGAGGTGATAACAGCTACCTATCTGTCCACCTCCTCAGGGGCCTGTCCCTCTCCATCAGTTCTTTCTCTGCCCAGCATCTGTAATCTCCCCCTTTCTCTTGGCTGCCATCCCACAACCCTCAATCTTACTTTAGTCTCCTTTGGCTCTTTTTTTTTTTTTTTTTTAATTTATTTTTTGAGACGGAGTTTCACTCTTGTTGCCCAAGCTGGAGTGCAATGGCACAATCTTGGCTCACTGCAGTCTCCACCTCCCAGGTTCAAGCGATTCTCCTGCCTCAGCCTCCCAAGTAGCTGGGATTACAGGTGCGCACCACCACACCCGGCTAATTTTTTGTATTTTTAGTAGAAACGGAGTTTCACCATGTTAGCCAGGCTGGTCTCCAACTCCTGACCTCAGATGATCCGCCCACCTCGGCCTCCCAAAGTGCTGGGATTACAGGCGTGAGCCACCGTGCCTGACCATTCTTTGGCCTTTAAAAAAGATAGTCCTCTAACCATACTTGCCTGTTCAACAGACCATCCAGTTTCTTTCCATCATGTCATCTCTCAACTTCTCTGGCAAGCAGCCCCTTCCTGCTGGGCCTCAGTTTCCCCACCATCCACTCACTGCCTGTCCCTGCCAAAATCGGCCTTTGCCCTTCCCACTCTGCTGAAGCTGTCTCTTGACAGTCACTTCCCACCCACGTCCTCTCCGTGTGTCTGAATCTCCCATGTCTGCTCACCCTCCTTAGATAGCTGGCTCCTCTCCTCCCTCTGGTGTCCAGATATGTGTGGGTGCTCTTGCCCCGAATCATGCCTTGAGTTCCTTGCCACTCCTGTACCTCTGGCTCTTCCTGCAGTCCTGGCCCCTCTCCTGTTCCATATCGCCCATTCCTGCCGGGTGGCTCCTGGAACACAAACCTCTCTGTGTCCAAACCCGAACTTCCCCACCCAGGCCAACTGCCCCTACACATTAATCCCCTTAACCACAGAGCTTGTTGTCTGTCTCTGTGCTGACTGAAGGCTTCCTCTGTCAAGGCTGGAATGCTGCCCTTTCACTTGCCCACCACTGCTGCTCCAGGCCTTCCCTTCCCCACACCTGCCAGCCCTGCCCATTCCAGATTCCACAGGCTTGTGAAGAGAGATGGGGCCTGGAGCCACCTCCTAATAGCCCACACTCACCTTCAGAACCATGGATTCCTGTCCCACAGGTATGTCGGGGAGCTGATCTCTGATGCTGAGGCTGATGTGAGAGAGGATGATTCTTACCTCTTCGACTTAGACAACAAGGTGAGCAGGAGACCCTCCTTACCCTGCTGCTCCCCAGGGCTGGCTTTCAGGAGCCTCTGGGAAGTCAGCAAATGGAAACCTGGGGAGGAGGGACTGGGGAGTCAGTGGGTGGGGAGGGCAAGCAGGGTCGGGGGAGATGTGAAGAGTGCCATCCCCCTGCCCCAGGATGGAGAGGTGTACTGCATAGATGCCCGTTACTATGGCAACATCAGCCGCTTCATCAACCACCTGTGTGACCCCAACATCATTCCCGTCCGGGTCTTCATGCTGCACCAAGACCTGCGATTTCCACGCATCGCCTTCTTCAGTTCCCGAGACATCCGGACTGGGGAGGAGCTAGGGTGAGACTCTAGGGGTCTCTAGGGGCTCTGCCAGGGGGTGGGAGATGCAGCAAACCTGGGACCTGAAGGCTGGCATGTACCTGGTGTCCAGGCATGGAGTAGTGCAGAGCTTCTCAGATTTCAGTGTACATAAGTATTTCCTGGAGGACTTGGGGAAACAGTCCTGTGCCTCCCAGAGAGATTTTGAATCAGTAGGCTTGGGATGGGGCCCAGGATTCTGCATTTCTAACAAGTCCCCAGGCAATGCTGATGCTGAAAGTCCATAGAACATACAAGGGGCTCAGATCCCATCTGGAGAAGATAGGTTGGGTGTCGGGTCCCTCTCAGGGAGCAGGATCCACAGGGTCTTCGGGGTGGGCTCTTGGTGGCTGGGTCCAGGTCCCACAAGCTCCTGTTTTCCTCTGACAGGTTTGACTATGGCGACCGCTTCTGGGACATCAAAAGCAAATATTTCACCTGCCAATGTGGCTCTGAGAAGTGCAAGCACTCAGCCGAAGCCATTGCCCTGGAGCAGAGCCGTCTGGCCCGCCTGGACCCACACCCTGAGCTGCTGCCCGAGCTCGGCTCCCTGCCCCCTGTCAACACATGAGAACGGACCACACCCTCTCTCCCCAGCATGGATGGCCACAGCTCAGCCGCCTCCTCTGCCACCAGCTGCTCGCAGCCCATGCCTGGGGGTGCTGCCATCTTCTCTCCCCACCACCCTTTCACACATTCCTGACCAGAGATCCCAGCCAGGCCCTGGAGGTCTGACAGCCCCTCCCTCCCAGAGCTGGTTCCTCCCTGGGAGGGCAACTTCAGGGCTGGCCACCCCCCGTGTTCCCCATCCTCAGTTGAAGTTTGATGAATTGAAGTCGGGCCTCTATGCCAACTGGTTCCTTTTGTTCTCAATAAATGTTGGGTTTGGTAATAAACTGCGATTTTTGTGTTGGGGTGGGGAGAAAGCATACTTGGCTAGAGGGAATGTGGGTCCAAGGGCCAGAATAGGATGGGAAGCAGGCTGGACAGGTGTGGCTGGTGTGATGGCCGCCCAGTGCGGGGCAGGGAGGTGGGGGGCCACTATGAAGATCCAGTTTCACAGGCACGGTGGCTGACACCTATAATCCCAGCACTTTGGGAGGCCAAGGCAGGCGAATCACCTGAGATCAGGAGTTCAAGACCAGCCTGGCCAACTTGGTGAAACCCCATCTTTCAAAATAGAAAAAATTTGCTGGGCGTGGTGGCAGGCACCTGTAATCCTGGCTACTCCAGAGGCTGAGGCAGGAGAACCGCTTGAAGCCAGGAGGCGGAGGTTGCAGTGAGCCAAGATTGAGTCACTGCACACCAGCCTGGGCAACAAGAGCGAAACTCCATCTCAAAAAGGAAAAAACAGGTCCAATTTCCACACTTTAATCTTTGGCGGGAGCGTGTTGGGAGTGTACGGCAGTTAAGGTAGTTTGCGAGATTATAAAGCGTTTTCTTATCAGAGCATGCCAGGTCGTTCACTGTGGTCCGTAGTGCCCCCAGGAAATAGCCCTGAGCCCCCGTCCCAGGCTCCAGCTCCCCAGCCCGCTGGGCACAAAGTTGAGAAGAAGGAACTAGAGTGTGTCGGGGACCACAGGCGGGGGTGGGGCTGTGACGTGTGGGAGGGCGGGGCGGGCAGCAGGTGAGACGCCAGGTCTCCAGGGCTCCAATCACTCCGGAGACTGAGCCATGGGGGGAAAGCAGCGGGACGAGGATGACGAGGCCTACGGTGAGACTGGGGCGAGGCCCGGGACCCTGTGGAGGGAGGGGAGGACGGGTACTTTGGGAATGGTGTCTGGGGCTGGCTCCAGGGAGAGGAACTAAGGAGAGTACTGTGTCCCTGAGGGGAGGGCCCGGGAACCGGGAGCCATGGAGGGAGGGAGTCAGGGTCCTGGGAGGAGGATGGGGCCCGGGGGCTGGGGCTGTTGCTGGGGAGCCCATGGGGAGTGAAGCTGGGTGCCTCTGAAGAGTTGGGGCTGAGGTCCTTGGGAGGAGGGGGGTATTTCAGGCCTGGACTCTGGGTCCCTAAGGGCAGGGCCCTAGGAAACAAAGCCGAGATGGAAGGTGGCAGGTTGGGGCCCTGAGCAGAATAGGGCTGGATGCTGGGAGTGTCCTGTGCTGCAGAGCCTGCAACCAGTGAGGCCAGGGTCCCTGTAAGGAGGAGGAGGTTCAGCCTGGAGTCTGGGTCTCTGAGGGCGAAAGCTGCTTGTGGCCTGCCGGCTCCCTTGAGGAGTGAGGGGACCCTGAGTGGGCTGGCCTCTGCCTGCCAGGGTCTCTGGGAGAAGTGGCAGAGGGAGTGGGTTCTGCTGGGGGTCCCTGTGAGGAGTTGGGGCTGAGGGTCTTTGTGGAAAGGGGGCTGGGGTCCTGCCTAGGGGTCTCTGTGAGGAGCTAGGAGCAGGAGCTGGTCTTGGGGTACTCTGAGGAATAGGGACAGGGCCCCTGGGGTTCCTGTGAAGGGTGAGGCCTGAGGGGAGAAACAGCAGGGAGCCTGTTTCCAGAATCTGCAAGGAAAAGGGGCTGGGGTTCTGAGGAGAGAGGGAGCTGGGGACTGGCCTCCAGATCCCCACGAGCAGTGAAGGCTGGGGACTCACCTGCGGAGGCCCCCCTGGTCTTCTGGTCTGAAGGGGAAGGAACCCCTATGAGGGACCTTCTCGAGGAGAGGCTTGAGTCCCTTAGGGCCATAGGGGAGCAGGCAGTGAGGACTCCCGAGTAGACTTCCTGGAGCGGCTTCAGGTCAATCATTGTCCATGAGCCATGGAGGGACAGAGTCCAGCGCACCTGGGGAAAGTGGACCCCACCCGCTCCTTCCCAGACTCCTGCCCAGCCCTCGGCTCTCCCTCCTCAGTGCCCACAAGGAACCCTGACTGCCCAGCCCTCCTCCTCCCTGTGTGTGTACTCAGGGAGGACCAGGAACTCAACGTGCCTGCAATCTCTATGGCTGGGCTCAGGTGTCACTCTGACTGCTGGCCCAGAGCCCGGAGCACACTGTGGCCAGGGGACTGAGGTCCCACCAGAGTGAGGATGTACAGGGCCGCTTCCCTCCCCAGGCCCTGCTGGGGTTGACACCTTTGTCTCCAGTTTCTTTCCCCATAGCCTTGAACCAGAGGGTAAGGTAGGGCCTGGGGCAGATAGGGGAAGAGGCCATGACCTCCCTGAGGGGCTGTGGGTCTGTGTGGTCCCTGGGGAGGGATTAGGGAGGAGGCAGGGATGAGAATGAGGGAGTGAGAGCCACTGGGAGTCCCACATCCCAGCTAAAGGGAGACTCAGGAGAACCGTGCCAGGGTAGGGCAGGGGACCAAGGCCATTTCCCAGACTGACTGCCTTGAGATGTGAGCCGGAAACTATAAAGGCCTTCCTTCCCCTCCCCATGGCAGCCTGGGTGGAGCTCCCAGGGAGCTGCTGAGCTGCTGACCAGGCCTGGATCCTACCTTTCCTGCTCCCCAGTTTTCCCCTCCTGCCAGTCCTGCCCTAGCCCATCTCCCTCCAAACACCTGAGGCCTGGGTAGGATCCTGGGGCTAGGAGGACTCAGCAGGACAAGATATGCAGAGAGAGACTCATCCTCCACACCTCTTCTCATGTCCCTCAGGGAAGCCAGTCAAATACGACCCCTCCTTTCGAGGCCCCATCAAGAACAGGTGAGCTCTGGGCACTGCTCCGGGGGCTGGCGGGGGTGGTGGGTGCAGTGTGGAATCCAGTATTTGCTTTGTATTTGCTAAAATATTAGTAGGAAACTTGTGAAAAAGAGAAACTCCTGCCCCAGATGGGTGGTGCCCTGGGGGGATTGTTGTGTCTGGAGCAGGCATCGAGGGCTTCCCAGTTCTGGGGGGATGTTCTGTTTCTTGACTTAAGTGCCGGCTTCACAAGCGAGAGAACTCACCCAGCTGAGCCCTTGCGAGTTGTGTGCTTTTCTGTCTTTTACTTCAGAAGAAAGTTTACCCACCCAGAAAAAGGTTTTCTTTCTTTTTGTGTTTTGGAGATGGGGGTTCACTGCAGGCTCGAACTCCTGTGCTCAAGTGATCCTCCTGCCCTAGCCTTCCGAGTAGCTGGGACTACAGGCATGCACCATCACACCAGGCTAATTTCTTTGAGATGGGATCTCACTATGTTGCCCAGGCTGGTCTCAAACTCCTGGCCTCAAGGGATTGCCCTGCCTCAGCCTCCCAAGTAGCTAGTATTACAGTCGTGAGCCACTGTGCCTGGCTAGGTTTTCTAAATAAAATATTTAAAAAAAATTAGCCGGGCAGTAGTGGCACGCGCCTGTAATCCCAGCTACTCGGGAGGCTAAGGCAGGAGAATTGCTTGAACCCAGGAGGCAGAGGCTGCAGTGAGCCAAGATTGCACCACTGCACTCCAGTCTGTGTGACAGAGTGAGACCCTGTCTCAAAATAAAAAAGTAAAAGCAATAAAAAAATAAAAATAAAGCCTACTGATGCCCATGCTGCAGCATCACCCAACTCTCTAACCCTTAACCCCTCCAGACCATAAGCCCTACCTCCCCAAGTCTCCTTAGCTCAGCCTCCCATTTCGTTTCTCTCTCAGAAGCTGCACAGATGTCATCTGCTGCGTCCTCTTCCTGCTCTTCATTCTAGGTTACATCGTGGTGGGGATTGTGGGTGAGTTTCCAGCTGCTCAGAGCCAGGGCAGTGGGTGAGGGACAGGAACCCAGGGAGGGACCATTCCCATAACTGCCCCACTAAGTCCCTGCCCTCCAATGACTCATCTGTGCCTCTGTCTGCAGCCTGGTTGTATGGAGACCCCCGGCAAGTCCTCTACCCCAGGAACTCTACTGGGGCCTACTGTGGCATGGGGGAGAACAAGTGAGTACAAAGGCGAGAAGAGGAGTGCAGGAGCGAGGCGAGGTAGGGTGGGCAGGAGACACCCCCCCAACTCAGGCTCCAGACCTGTCCGTGCTCTTCCACAGCCTTTCCCTGCTGTCCCCACCCCACCTCAGCCTCCCTGAATCTGACAACTCCAGGCCACGTTAAGAACCATTGCTGGACAGTTAGCTTCTTGAGTCCCCCCAGAAATGGGAGGCAGTGGAGAGTCGTGTTAAGTGTATGAGTTTTACAGTTCAGAGATTGGTGTTTGGATCCCCAACTGGACCAAGTTTTGGTTGTGTGGCCTTGGACAAGTTACTCAAGCTCTCTGAGCTTTGATTTCCTTATTTGAAATTCAAGGGGAATTCCAGAAGCAATGCCAACAGTCCTCACATACAGATGTCCAATAAATAATAAAACCTCAAATATTTATATAGCATTTACTATGTTCCAGGCAGGCAGTAAACTTTACACACACAAGCGCATTGAAATCTCATGAGGTAGGCACTACTGTTTTATATGGAGTAGAACTAAGACCGAGAACAGGTGACTTGCTCAAGATCATAAAGATGATATGAAGTTGTGGAGCTCCAAGTTCATGCTCTGAGCTATTTGTCAGCTGCTGCAATGGTGACTTACTCTGAGAGATCTTCTAGGCATCTCCCTACCTCCCCAGCTGAGCTAGGGCCAGGAGCTGGGAGGTGACTGGTATGGGCCACGCTGGGCTGGGCCCACTGTATTCTTGAGAAGCCACCCTAGTGGTCCCTCCCCTCCCCCAACACCTGACCAGGCCCTGATGCACATGGTCCCTCCCCTCCCACAGAGATAAGCCGTATCTCCTGTACTTCAACATCTTCAGCTGCATCCTGTCCAGCAACATCATCTCAGTTGCTGAGAACGGCCTACAGTGCCCCACACCCCAGGTCAGAGCCTGGGACCTGCCTCTACCCCAGATCTCACCCAGGGTCTCAGGTTCCAGCCCCTTAGTGTTCTCTCTGCACCCAGGTGTGTGTGTCCTCCTGCCCGGAGGACCCATGGACTGTGGGAAAAAACGAGTTCTCACAGACTGTTGGGGAAGTCTTCTATACAAAAAACAGGAACTTTTGTCTGCCAGGGGTACCCTGGAATATGGTGAATATTGCCCCTAACCTCATCACTGTCGCCCAGAAGGGCCAGGGTGGGCACGAGAGGGAGGGGGAGTTGGGTAGATCATCACCAGGTTGGCTCTCCTGGGGAGTGTGGGACAGGCTGAGCCCCATGGTGGTGGTGAGGGGACCTGCTTCTTCATCCTGCTCTGTGTCTGTGTGTCTGTCCTTTCACTCCTGCCACAGACGGTGATCACAAGCCTGCAACAGGAACTCTGCCCCAGTTTCCTCCTCCCCTCTGCTCCAGGTGAGAAGCACAGATTCCTTCCTCAGACGTCATCTAGTCCAGTGTTTTCATTGCTTGAATGAAGAAATCAGGCCCAGAGAGAGTGAAGTCACATAGCTTGTTGGTGGCAAAATTGGAATTAGCATCAGGTCTTCATTTTGCTCTTTGTTATGTGGCCTTGCAGTCAGACCATCAGTGTTTTGGGGACCTACTATGTGCCAGGTGCTGGGGACAGAGGCAGGGATAACAACTGCTCCCTGCTTCAGCTACATTCTAGGTGAAGAGATTAGAGTTGTTCACAAAGAGACTGTATGAAAATCTCATGAAAACATACATGGGTGAATCTACACACACATTTTTTTTTTTTAGACGGAGTCTTCCTCTGTTGCCCAGGCTGGAGTGCAGTGGCGTGATCTCGGCTCACTGCAACCCCCGCCTCCCGGGTTCAAGCGCTTCTCTGCTTCAGCCTCCCGAGTAGCTGGAATTACAGCACATGGTGCCCGCCACCACGCCCGGCTAATTTTTATTTTTATTTTATTTATTAAATTTATTTATTAAATTTGTATTTTTAGTAGAGACGGGGTTTCACTATCTTGGCCAAGCTGGTCTTGAACTCTTAACTTCGTGATCCACCCACCTTGGCCTCCCAAAGTGCTGGGATTACAGACATGAGCCACCACGCCCAGCCTGCACACATATCATTTTTATATATGCACAGGGAAAAGGCTAGAAGGATATTTGTTCAAATGTTATAAGTGAACGTGGCTGGGTGGTAGGATCACAGTTGAACTTTTTTTCTTTTACAGTGTGCTCTTCCTTCCAGTAGCAAATGTCTTTTTTTTTTTTTTAAGAGATGAAGTCTTGCTATGTTGCCCAGGCTGGTCTTGAACTCCTCGATTCAAGCAATCTTCCCACCTCAGCCTCTCAAAGTGCTGGGATTACAGACATGAGCCCCGACACCCAGTTGCAAATGTCATTTTTAATATAAAACAATTTTTAGGCCAGGCATGGTGGCTCATGCTTGTAATCCTAGCACTTTGGGAGGCTGAGGCAGGCAGATCACCTGAGATCAGGAGTTCGAGACCAGCCTGGCCAACATGGCGAAACCCTATCTCTACTAAAAATACAAAACTTAGCTGGGCGTGGTGGCATGCACCTCTTATCCCAGCTACTCAGGAGGCTGAGGCAGGAGAATTGCTTGAACCCGGGTGGCAGAGGTTGCAGTGAGCTTTGCAGTGAGCCAAGATCGCGCCACTGTACTCTAGCCTTGCTGACAGAGCGAGACTCCGTCTCAAACAAAAATTTTAGGCCGGGAGCAGTGGCTCACACCTGTAATCCCAGCACTTTGGGAGGCCGAGGCGGGCGGATCACAAGGTCAGGAGTTCGAGACTAGTCTGGCCAACATGGTGAAACCCCGTCTCTACTAAAAATACAAAAATTAGCCAGGTGTGGTGGTGGGCACCTAAAATCCCAGCTACTCGGGAGGCTGAAGCAGGAGAATTGCTTGAGCCCAGAGGCGGAGTTTACGGTGAGCCGAGATGGTGCCACTGCACTCCAGCCTGGGCAACAGTGAGACTCCATCTCAAAAAAAAAAAATTAGACAATTTATAGCATAAGATGAGATATCCAGTTACCAATTTAAGTACAGTAAGGAGTATCTCAAGTGAATACTTCAAAGTCAAGTAGATCTGAATATAAATTCTAGCACTTTCCAGCCCTATGGTCTTGACCCAACTATGCAACCTCTCTGAACCTTGTTTCCTCATCTTTAGAATGTAAATGACAGTGAGGTGCAGTGGCTCACGCCTGTAGTCCCAACTGCTCAGGAGGCTAAGGCGGGAGGGTCACTTGAGTCCTGGAGTTGGAGGTTACAGTGAGCTATGATTGTGCCACTGCACTCCAGCCTGGGCAATAGAGTGAGAAACCCTGCCTCTAAAAAATAAATAAGCTAGGTGAGGTGACTCACACCTGTAATCCCAACACTTTGGGGGGCTGAGGTGGGAGGATTGCTTGAGCCCAGGAGTTTGAGGCCAGCCTGGGCAACACAGCAAAACCCCATCTGTACAAAAAATTTAAAAATTAGCCAAGTGTGGTGGTGCACATCTATAGTCCCAGTTGCTTGGGAGGCTAAGTGGGGAGGATCGCTTGAGCCCAGAAGTTCAATGTTGCAGTAAGCTATGATCATGCAGCTGCACTCTAGCCTGGGTGACAGAGCAAGACCTTGACTCAAAAATAAGTAAATAAATAAATAAATAGATAAATAAATGACAAAGCAAGGCTGCCTGGCAAAGTTGTTGCAAGGATGGCAGTAAGTGGCTCTGTAGGCACATAACAGTTGCCAAAGGAGGTGGGGATAAGGTCAGAAGGCTTCCTGGAGGAGGTGAGATGGAGCTGGATTTGAACAGGGAGTCATGGATGGGATTTCTGGTGGAAAGAGAGCCCTGAGAGAGAGGCACAGTAAGAGCAAAGGTACAGATTAGAAGGGAACATGGGCTGGATTTGGACAGGAGAGCCTGGAAGCCTGGCCAGGGAGTGTGGATGCTGTCTCTGGGGCAGAGCCTCTGGAGATGTCTGAGTCACAAAGGGACCCAGAACCCTGGAGTGATGAAGTCCAGGCAGTGCCACGGTCTCCCTGGCACTCCACTCGGGTGGAGGGTGGATGGAAGGGTGACAGGGTGTTCTAAGAGTTGAGGCCAGCGGAGAGGAGGGTCCAAACCAAGGCACGACAGGGAGGGGAGGCAGGGGATAGACTGGGCTCCACAGGACAGAAGCCCATTTGTGAAATCAAAAGCAGCCCACTGAGGGATGCAAGGCCCATCACCCTTCCCTCCCCTAAGGGCACTGTGGACTGGGAGGGGGCCAGAGACCCTCCAGGCAGAGCTCCTGGCCCCCAACCCAGCAGCCCGGCTCTCCCTTCCAGCTCTGGGACGCTGCTTTCCATGGACCAACATTACTCCACCGGCGCTCCCAGGGATCACCAATGACACCACCATACAGCAGGGGATCAGGTAGGCACCTCCCTCCCCCACATCCTGGCCACACCCCTTCCACCCACAGCCCCATCTGACTCTGTCTCCCCAACAGCGGTCTTATTGACAGCCTCAATGCCCGAGACATCAGTGTTAAGATCTTTGAAGATTTTGCCCAGTCCTGGTATTGGATTCTTGTGTGAGTCACCAGATTCCCCTCCTCTTGTGTCCTTGCCTTCTTCCTCCCTGATCCTCTACCCCCTCGCCCAATGTCTGAAACACAGGCTTTGGACAGAGGAGGAGGAGCCAGAGCTCCGAATGGATTCCAAGACCAACAGGATTTATAAGGGAAAGAGGCCTAATCTGGGGACATTGGGTGGTGTGTGGAAAGGCAGGGAGGGCCTCTGTAAGGGGAAAGATTTGAGGGGCTAGGGCTGAACCTCACTGTCCTCACCCTGCCTACAGTGCCCTGGGGGTGGCTCTGGTCTTGAGCCTACTGTTTATCTTGCTTCTGCGCCTGGTGGCTGGGCCCCTGGTGCTGGTGCTGATCCTGGGAGTGCTGGGCGTGCTGGCATATGGCATCTACTACTGCTGGGAGGAGTACCGAGTGCTGCGGGACAAGGGCGCCTCCATCTCCCAGCTGGGTTTCACCACCAACCTCAGTGCCTACCAGAGCGTGCAGGAGACCTGGCTGGCCGCCCGTGAGTGTCCTGCCCACCCCCAAGCCACCAGCTGCCCAAGGACTGCCCTGGGCCATGCCCGGCCCCAGCCCTGGCCCTGACCTAGGTCTGTCTGCCCCATCCTCTGCAGTGATCGTGTTGGCGGTGCTTGAAGCCATCCTGCTGCTGGTGCTCATCTTCCTGCGGCAGCGGATTCGTATTGCCATCGCCCTCCTGAAGGAGGCCAGCAAGTTAGGGCCTGCCTGGGAGGGAGATGGGGTTGAGGACAGCGTGGACCCAGGAGTGCTAGGGGACCTAGGGGGTGCTAGAGAGGTGGCAGGGAGCCTCAGAGGAGAAGGGAGGAATATAGCACAGTGGTGAACACTGCTGTGGCTTTGCTTCCCCATCTGTAAAATGGGGGTAACAATAATTCCTGCCTTCTAGGGTTGTCTTGAGGATTCAATGAGTGCCTGGAATATGACATAGGCCTTCTAGAGGGGTTGGTGGGAGTGGTGGTGGCTGAGTGGAACGGCAGGAATCCGGGCCAGGAGGGGCAGCAGCTTGCTCCCGATCAGGAACTGCCACACACACCTGCCAAGGGATCACGCTTGGGGGTGATCTTCCCTTACTCCACCCGAAGCTGCCCCAGGTGGCTTCTCTGTGACCCTAGTTTCCTCTAAGGGTCCTGTGAGCCTGATTTATTCAGTTCTGTTTATCCAGTGAGCACCTACAGTATGCCTAGCCCTGCACCAGGCCCTGAGGACACAGATATGAAAGACAATGTCACTAACCCTGTTGGTCCCACCCTGGGGGAGTGGGGCAGGCCCCAGTGAGGGCAGCGGGGTCAGCCCCCCCCTTTTTTTTTTTGAGACGGAGTCTCGCTCTGTCGCCCAGGCTGGAGTGCAGTGGTGCGATGTCAGCTCACTGCAAACTCCGCCTCCCGGGTTCACGCCATTCTCCTGCCTCAGCCTCCGGAGTAGCTGGCACTACAGGCGCCCGCCACCATGCCCGGCTAATTTTTTGTATTTTTAGTAGAGATGGGGTTTCACCGTGTTAGCCAGCATGGTCTCGATCTCCTGACCTCGTGATCCGCCCGCCTCAGCCTCCCAAAGTGCTGGGATTACAGGCGTGAGCCACCGCGCCCGGCCGGGGTCAGCCCCTTGAGAAGATGGACAGCTGGGGCGGTGCCGGTTAACAGCTTTGTCTCCCTGCAGGGCTGTGGGACAGATGATGTCTACCATGTTCTACCCACTGGTCACCTTTGTCCTCCTCCTCATCTGCATTGCCTACTGGGCCATGACTGCTCTGTATCCTCTGCCCACGCAGCCAGCCACTCTTGGAGTCCTGGGGGTTGATGGAAAACAAAGCAATACTTGCCTTGTAGAGTGCCTTGGTGTCACTGGAAGAGGTGCCCCTTTCTCTGGGCAGACACACCAGCACTGTGCCTGAACAGAGTTGAAAGGGTGCACACAGGCTGAATTTCAGCCCTCTCTGTGCAGCAAACGATCTGCACAAGCACCTAGGAACAGGTCCCTAAGGAGCGAGTGACCTGTGGAGACCTCGTGTGATCATGCTTTCCTTGACTCCCCTCTGGGTACCTGGCTACATCGGGGCAACCCCAGTATGTGCTCTGGGCATCCAACATCAGCTCCCCCGGCTGTGAGAAAGTGCCAATAAATACATCATGCAACCCCACGGTAAGAGGAAGCAGGGGACATGGAGGCGGGACTAGTAGGGGTGAGGGGCTGTAGGGGCCACATTCCTCATTGTGCAGAGAAGACTGAGGCCACAGAGGGCAAGACACTTGTGCAAGGTCACACACTCAACCCCCAGCAGAGCTAGAAGAAACCAGTTCCCAGAATACCTGGTACTCCTGTTGAGCCATCCATCATGTGGGGAGGGAAACTGAGGCTGGGAGAGACAGCCCTGGATACCAGGACTTACTCCACCCCTCCCCAGGACATTGCTCTGACTTGAGGACCATCAACCACTTCACCCTCTGAGTCTCAGCCTACTCCTGTTTGTTTGTTTGTTTGTTTGTTTGTTTGTTTTGAGACAGGGTCTTGCTCTGTTGCCCAGGCTGGAGTGCAGCAGTGCAATCTCAGCTCACTGCAACCTCCATCCCCCAGGCTCAAGCAATCTTCCCACCTCAGCCTCCTGAGCAGCTGGAACTACTAGCGTATGACACCACGCCAGGCTAATTTTAAGCTTTTTGTAGAGGCAAGGTCTTGCTGTGTTACCCGGGCTGGTCTTGAACTCCTGGGGTTGCCCCGATGTAGTCAGGTACCCAAGCAATCCTCTGGCTTAACCTCCCAAAGTACTGGGATTATAGGAGTGAGCCACCACATGCAGCTCCATTCCTCTGTAAAATGAGGATAATTATAATACCCATCCCTGGGGTGGCTGAGAAGATGAAATGACTTTGGGCACATAAAGTGCTTAGTACAATGCCTGGCACCTGATAAGAGCTCAACAACAGGTTGAATTGTATTATATTGTTAAGTCTTACTCCCTTGGAACACAGAGCCCTAGGTAGTAGCCAGGTGGGACTCCCTGCGGGGGACCCGAGAGAGAAGCTGCTTCCAAAATTCCCCTGTGAGGTTCCCCGGGAGTGGCGCTGGGCTGCTGGGAATTTACTCTTCTCAAACCTGTCATATCTTCACCTCGTCTGAGCTGGGAACATGAGCTGTGCTGCAGGCATTAGCCCCACCCCTATTAAAAAGGGGAGGTTTGGCAGGCGCGGTGGCTCATGCCTGTAATCCCAGCACTTAGGAGGCCGAGGTGGGCAGATCACCTGAGGTCAGGAGTTTGAGACCAGCCTGGCCAACATGACAAAAACCTGTCTCCACTAAAAGTACAAAAATTAGCCAGGCATGGTAGCAGGTGCCTGTAATCCCAGCTACTCAGGAGGCTGAGGCAGGAGAATTGCTTGAACTCGGGAGGCGGAGGTTGCAGTGAGCTGAGATCGCGCCATTGCACTGCAGCCTGGGCGGCGAGACTCCGTCTCAAAAAAAAAAAAAAAAGGTTTATTTACATGTACAGAGGACCCACTATGTGCCAGGCACTGGGTATACAAAGCCCAAAATGATGTGGTTCTTTTTCTTTTTCTTTTTTTTTTCTTTTTTAATGAAAAAAAGGCTGTTACACAGGCTGGAGTGCAGTGATGCGATCATGGCTCACTGAAGCCTTGATCTCCCAGGCTCAAGTGATCTTCTCACCTCAGTCTCCCAAGTAGCTGGGACTACAAACAAGTGCCACCATGCCCGGCTAATTTTTTTTTTTAAGAGATGGCGTTTCACTATGTTGCCCAGGCTGGTCTCAAACAAATGGGCTCAAGCAATTTGCCTGCTTCAGCCTCCAAAAGTGTTGGGATTATACACATGAGCAACTGTGCTGGGTATGACGTGAGTGTTGTTTTCAACTTGCTTGTGATCTAGCAGTAAAGACTGACAGAAGGCCGCGCGCAGTGGCTCACACCTGTAATCCCAGCACTTTGGGAGGCCGAGGCAGGTGAATCATGAGGTCCAGAGTTCGAGACCAACCTGGCCAATATGGTGACAGAGTGAGACTCCATCTCAAAAAAAAAAAAAAGATTTTTTGATTAGCCAGGCATGGTGGCACACACCTGCAGTCCCAGCTACTTGGGAGGTTGAAGCAGGAGGATTGCTTGAACACGGGAGGCAGAGGTTGCAGTGAGCTGAGATTGAGCCACTGTACTCCAGCCTGGGCAACAGAGCGAGACCCTGTGTCAAAAAAAAATTTTTTTGGTTATATTTGCTAGAAAGGGTTGCTTTTTAATTTGTGACTTTTTACTTTTTATTATGGGAATTTTTAAACATATGCAAAAGTAGAGATGATAGCACAGTGAGTTCCCTGTACCCAGATTCCACAACCCTCAACTTTTTGCTATTCTTATTTCATCTATATCCTCACCTATAATTTTTTTTTTTTTTGAGATGGAGTTTTGCTCTTGTCTCCCAGGCTGGAGTGCAGTGGCGCGATCTCGGCCCACTGCAACCTCTGCCTCCTGGGTTCAAGCAATTATCCTGCCTCAGCCTCCTGAATAGCTGGGATAATAGGCGTCTGCCACCACGCCCGGCTAATTTTTTGTATTTTCAGTAGAGATGGGATTTCACCATGTTGGCCAAGCTAGTCTTGAACTCCTGACCTCAGGCGATCCGCCCACCTCGGCCTCCCAAAGTGCTGAGATTACAGGCATAAGCCACCGCACCCGCCTCATAAATTTTTTTTTCTGGAGACTTTTAAGGCAAATTCTGGACATCATGCCATTTCACCTGTACATGCATCGAGATGGATCTCAACAGATAAGAACTGTTTAAAAGCATAGCCACTATATCATTATCACATCTCACAAAATTAACAATAATTCCTTAATATCATCAAATACCCAGCCTGTTCAATTTGCCGGAAAGGGTTTTGGTAGACGTTGCAGAGGCTGCTCTGGAATGGGAATGCTGAGTGAGTGCCTTCCCCTCTGATTGAGACTGAGGGAGCTGATTATGCTTATGCTATAGGCAGACCAAACTGAGTTTGAGCCTGGAGATGGAACTCTCCGACAGAACTTGATTCCCGCAGTCCAGAGAAGCTACTTCCCACCTGTCAACTCTGGGAGGGGCAGGAGCTACTGGGAATGGGACGCCCAGGCTCCATACTGAGGCCCCCGATGCCTGAGCCTACTCTATCCCCGTCTACCCTCCCAGGCCCACCTTGTGAACTCCTCGTGCCCAGGGCTGATGTGCGTCTTCCAGGGCTACTCATCCAAAGGCCTAATCCAACGTTCTGTCTTCAATCTGCAAATCTATGGGGTCCTGGGGCTCTTCTGGACCCTTAACTGGGTACTGGCCCTGGGCCAATGCGTCCTCGCTGGAGCCTTTGCCTCCTTCTACTGGGCCTTCCACAAGCCCCAGGACATCCCTACCTTCCCCTTAATCTCTGCCTTCATCCGCACACTCCGGTAAGGATGGGGCAGGGGCCTGGTCATTGTAGGCACGGGGGCCCCAGGGGTCCTGGAGCTGTCTCTGACTGCATAACACCCTCTGCAGTTACCACACTGGGTCATTGGCATTTGGAGCCCTCATCCTGACCCTTGTGCAGATAGCCCGGGTCATCTTGGAGTATATTGACCACAAGCTCAGAGGTGAGTCTGGAGTCGGAGTAGGAGTCAGGAGCTGGGGAAGGCCATTAGGGAGGGGCAGTGACCAAACATGAGCCTTCCTCGCTCCCAGGAGTGCAGAACCCTGTAGCCCGCTGCATCATGTGCTGTTTCAAGTGCTGCCTCTGGTGTCTGGAAAAATTTATCAAGTTCCTAAACCGCAATGCATACATCATGGTGAGCTACACTGCAAGCAACCCTTTGTTCTGGTGCCCTTTGGTCTAGACACCCCCATCCTGGTCCAGGCAGCTCGCCTTGGTAACTCTGACCTTTCCACCTCCCTCAGATCGCCATCTACGGGAAGAATTTCTGTGTCTCAGCCAAAAATGCGTTCATGCTACTCATGCGAAACATTGTCAGGTTAGGCTGCTCCCCCCCCGCTTTGTGGCTCCCTCCTCTGATCTCCCACCCAAGGCTGGCTTCGTGGGTGTGCTGTGCTCAGTCGGGCCCTAGACTTAGTTTAGTGCTCTGCTCTTGCCATCTTGAAACGTGAACAATTTTCATTTTGCACCAGTCCCCACAAATTACGAAGCCAATTTCACTCTCAGCATTGCCAGGCCTCTCACCCTCAACCTGCCCTAACTTCTGGCACAGGGTGGTCGTCCTGGACAAAGTCACAGACCTGCTGCTGTTCTTTGGGAAGCTGCTGGTGGTCGGAGGCGTGGGTAAGGGACCAGAAGCTGTGGGGACAGAGGGTAGGGGTGCTGGGCAGCTGAAGAGGTGGCCTCAGAGGTGCAGCACTAACCCCCAGAATTATTCCACAGGGGTCCTGTCCTTCTTTTTTTTCTCCGGTCGCATCCCGGGGCTGGGTAAAGACTTTAAGAGCCCCCACCTCAACTATTACTGGCTGCCCATCATGGTGAGTGACTCCCCTCTCTGCTGCTCCACCCCCAACTCCCCAGAGGAACCCAATAACCCCAACGGGTCATGTCTTCCAGACCTCCATCCTGGGGGCCTATGTCATCGCCAGCGGCTTCTTCAGCGTTTTCGGCATGTGTGTGGACACGCTCTTCCTCTGCTTCCGTGAGTGACACCCCCAGCCACCTGTCCCCAACCTTAAAGTACTGAGCCGTTCAAGCATTTTTTTTTTTTTTTGGAGATTTGGTGCTTCTAGAAACAATGCCTTTGTGAGCTAAACGAACCAGAGGGAGCTTCTTGTGACATCCTGAGGCCAGGCGTTTAGGGAAGAAGGAAGAGAGTGAGCCCCCAGGCCGGTAGGCTCTCCAAAGAAGGAGCATTCTGATGGAGAGGTCTCTGCTATCTTCCCTAAGAAATCTCGGGTAGAAGTTAGCCATTAGAGGCCAGGCATGGTGGCTCACGCCTGTCATGCCAGCACTTTGGGGGACCGAGGTGGGCAGATCACCCTGAGGTCAGGAGTTCGAGACCAGCCTGGCCCACATGGTGAAACCCCTCTCTACTAAAAATACAAAAAATTAGCTGGGCGCGGTGGCGGGCGCCTGTAATCCCAGCCACTTGGGAGGCTGAAGCAGGAGAATCGCTTGAACTCAGGAGGCGGAGGTTGCAGCGAGCCGAGATTGCGCTACTGCACTTCAGCTTGGGCGACAGCAAGACTCCGTCTCAAAACAAAGAAAAAAGATTAAAAAAAAAAAAGAGCCATTAGAGAGACTTCCCAGCAGGTGGCTGTAGCGGCAGGGGATTTTCTTACTCTACAGCATGCATCCATTCAGGGTTTGCCAGTCTCCTCCTAAGCGACTGACATGCATTTTTTCCGCTAATTCTTATCATCGCTCTATGCAACATAATATTCCCGACCCCACTTCACAGGAGGAAACTGAGATTACATAACCTGCCCGGGGGTAAGGGTGGTGGTGCAGCTTGGATTCCAAATCCCGCAGGCAGCTTGCCTCCCAGTCCCCGATTTCCTGGCCCCAGGGTCCGCTCTAACCGGTCTCTGTTGCGGCTCAGTGGAAGACCTGGAGCGGAACAACGGCTCCCTGGACCGGCCCTACTACATGTCCAAGAGCCTTCTAAAGATTCTGGGCAAGAAGAACGAGGCGCCCCCGGACAACAAGAAGAGGAAGAAGTGACAGCTCCGGCCCTGATCCAGGACTGCACCCCACCCCCACCGTCCAGCCATCCAACCTCACTTCGCCTTACAGGTCTCCATTTTGTGGTAAAAAAAGGTTTTAGGCCAGGCGCCGTGGCTCACGCCTGTAATCCAACACTTTGAGAGGCTGAGGCGGGCGGATCACCTGAGTCAGGAGTTCGAGACCAGCCTGGCCAACATGGTGAAACCTCCGTCTCTATTAAAAATACAAAAATTAGCCGAGAGTGGTGGCATGCACCTGTCATCCCAGCTACTCGGGAGGCTGAGGCAGGAGAATCGCTTGAACCCGGGAGGCAGAGGTTGCAGTGAGCCGAGATCGCGCCACTGCACTCCAACCTGGGTGACAGACTCTGTCTCCAAAACAAAACAAACAAACAAAAAGATTTTATTAAAGATATTTTGTTAACTCAGTAAATCTGTGACTCATTCTCTCCACGACGACAGGCGGCCTTTTTTTTTCCGCGCCCGGCTCTTTAAAATCGGCCCCGCCCCTGTGACGTGTCCTGGTGCCGCGGCCAATCAAAAAGCCCAATAAGGATGGTGCCAGTCCCTTCTTCACCCCAGCCAGTCCGCTTCCCGTTCGGGTCACGCGCTCCGGGCCTCCAAGAGGGCCTCCAAGAGGGCCAATCGGAAGGGCAAGCTTCGAGATGCTGCGTGATCACGTGGGAGGAGATGAGCTACTTGAAGACCAATTAGAGTCCGGGAAGCGCGGCGGGGCCTCCAGACCGGGGCGGGCTTAAGGGTGACATCTGCGCTTTAAAGGGTCCGGGTCAGCTGACTCCCGACTCTGTGGAGTCTAGCTGCCAGGGTCGCGGCAGCTGCGGGGAGAGATGACTGGGGAGCGACCCAGCACGGCGCTCCCGGACAGACGCTGGGGGCCGCGGATTCTGGGCTTCTGGGGAGGCTGTAGGGTTTGGGTGTTTGCCGCGATCTTCCTGCTGCTGTCTCTGGCAGCCTCCTGGTCCAAGGCTGAGAACGACTTCGGTCTGGTGAGTCACCCTTTGCATAGCCCCATCCCCGACCCGCGCAGGTGATCGACACCTAGTGTCCCCCGGAACGCGGGCGGCTGAGCCGACTTTCCGCGACAGGACCCTTTTCTTTCTCCCAGACCCCGTTTCCTCCTACCGCTCCCAGCCCCTCTCCCTCTCCGGGTCCCCGTCCTTCTCCTCATTCGAGCCCCTTCCTCTTTTGGGGTCCCCTTCCCTCCCTGAAGGCGCCTTCTCCTTTCGTAGACCCTCCCCTGCTCCGAGCCTCCAGCTTCGCTCCAAACTCCCCTTCGTGTTCCTCTTTCTTGTTCTGGGACCCCATCCCCTACTCGGGATCCCCATTAGATCCTCCCTCTCCCATCGGAACGTGGGTTCCTAAAACCCCCAAGACAAGTTTGTCTTTGTTGACCCTTCCTCCTCCCATGACAGGTGCAGCCGCTGGTGACCATGGAGCAACTGCTGTGGGTGAGCGGGAGACAGATCGGCTCAGTGGACACCTTCCGCATCCCGCTCATCACAGCCACTCCGCGGGGCACTCTTCTCGCCTTTGCTGAGGCGAGGAAAATGTCCTCATCCGATGAGGGGGCCAAGTTCATCGCCCTGCGGAGGTCCATGGACCAGGGTATAAAGATGTCTGGGTGAAAGAGCCGGTGCTAGGTTGGATGGGTGGGCAGCCCAATGAGCCCAAGGGCCCTGAGGATAGGGGAACTTAGAGGGTTGGTTGCCTGAGTCCCTGAGGGGTAGAGGGAACCCGAGAAGGGCAAGTGTCTAGGACAGTGATCTGGAAATTGGGATCACCAAGGAGTTGGACATTCACTTAGCAAACATTTATTGGGTACTATATACCTATACCAGGCACTATTTTAGGTTTCATGAATATAGCCACGAACAAAACAGATCAAAAATCTCTGCCCTCAGGATTTAAATTGTACTGGAAGGAGACAGACAAGCATAATAAACAAGTAAACTTTTTTGTCTGTTGCAAGGTGATAAATGCAATGGAGAAAAATAAAACAGGACAAGAGGTATAGATAGTGCAAGTGTTGGATTGCACCCTGGGACCATCGGAAGGCCTGAGGTCCCTAGCAGAAGGTGGGAAATTAACGGGAAGTGGTAGAAAGGGTACCTGCAGAGTGCTCACTCTGGGTTTCTTCCTCCAATTTTTTTCAGGCAGCACATGGTCTCCTACAGCGTTCATTGTCAATGATGGGGATGTCCCCGATGGGCTGAACCTTGGGGCAGTAGTGAGCGATGTTGAGACAGGAGTAGTATTTCTTTTCTACTCCCTTTGTGCTCACAAGGCCGGCTGCCAGGTGGCCTCTACCATGTTGGTATGGAGCAAGGATGATGGTGTTTCCTGGAGCACACCCCGGAATCTCTCCCTGGATATTGGCACTGAAGTGTTTGCCCCTGGACCGGGCTCTGGTATTCAGGTCTCTGTCCTAGGAGATAGGTGGAGGGGGCTGCCTTGTGGAGAGTCTGAGGGATACCCCCAAATGGACTCCTTTCCAAGGGGAAGATTCTCTGAAGTCAGATTTTCTGGCTTGGGTGGGATTCCTTGAAAGACAGGGCATCCTGGTAGGAACACATTATCAGGAGAAGAGGGAACTCTGCCATTGGCTTCCCATTTGGCATTGTCAACAGGACTGCGTTAGTCCATGCAATACCCTCATGCAAAGTAGAAAAAGGCACTGCCTCTTTGGACAGACACAAGCCTGTGCCAGGGTGCACAGCTTGGCGAGTGAGCACAGGTTGGGTTTAAGCTCTCATGCACCCTGTGGCTGGGCCCCTGGTGCACATGTCCAGCTGTACACCCTGGGAGAGCTTCTTAATTCAAACAGGGTGTGTATTTATGGGATCTGACTGGAACCCTCAGTGAGCAAGGGCTGAACTCAAGGGGACCATACATGTGATTGCATTTGGGAAGTGGTGGGTTCTCTGTCCCTGCCTCTGAGCCCCTAGAGTCTCCTTCTGTGACACCCAGTTCCCTTTCCCACAGAAACAGCGGGAGCCACGGAAGGGCCGCCTCATCGTGTGTGGCCATGGGACGCTGGAGCGGGACGGAGTCTTCTGTCTCCTCAGCGATGATCATGGTGCCTCCTGGCGCTACGGAAGTGGGGTCAGCGGCATCCCCTACGGTCAGCCCAAGCAGGAAAATGATTTCAATCCTGATGAATGCCAGGTCAGGAGTCCATGAGATGTTCCCTACCCATTTGACCCTCCCTGCCCTCCAGAACATCATTTCACGCACAGACCCAGGGTCTGACTGCTCCACTCAGTGCCACACACCCTTGCTCCCCTCGGGGACAGGGCATTTTCCCTGTTCCCTCCCTGAGGTCCTGTCCTCTCCCCTCAGCCCTATGAGCTCCCAGATGGCTCAGTCGTCATCAATGCCCGAAACCAGAACAACTACCACTGCCACTGCCGAATTGTCCTCCGCAGCTATGATGCCTGTGATACACTAAGGCCCCGTGATGTGACCTTCGACCCTGAGCTCGTGGACCCTGTGGTAGCTGCAGGAGCTGTAGTCACCAGCTCCGGCATTGTCTTCTTCTCCAACCCAGCACATCCAGAGTTCCGTGAGTGCCTCATGGGTGGGGTCAGCAGGGAGAGCCCTGTGTCTAGACAAGGCCTGGGCAGAGACCCTCTCTCCCTGACTCTCCTGCTCTCCCCAGGAGTGAACCTGACCCTGCGATGGAGCTTCAGCAATGGTACCTCATGGCGGAAAGAGACAGTCCAGCTATGGCCAGGCCCCAGTGGCTATTCATCCCTGGCAACCCTGGAGGGCAGCATGGATGGAGAGGAGCAGGCCCCCCAGCTCTACGTCCTGTATGAGAAAGGCCGGAACCACTACACAGAGAGCATCTCCGTGGCCAAAATCAGTGTCTATGGGACACTCTGAGCTGTGCCACTGCCACAGGGGTATTCTGCCTTCAGGACTCTGCCTTCAGGAACACGGGTCTGTAGAGGGTCTGCTGGAGACGCCTGAAAGACAGTTCCATCTTCCTTTAGACTCCAGCCTTGGCAAAATCACCTTCCCTTTACCAGGGAAATCACTTCCTTTAGGACTGAAAGCTAGGCGTCCTCTCCCACAAAAAAGTCCTGCCCTCATCTGAGAATACTGTCTTTCCATATGGCTAAGTGTGGCCCCACCACCCTCTCTGCCCTCCCGGGACATTGATTGGTCCTGTCTTGGGCAGGTCTAGTGAGCTGTAGAATTGAATCAATGTGAACTCAGGGAACTGGGGAAGGCTGAGCCTCCTCTTTGGTGTTGCGGTAAGATAACCGACAGGGCTGGTGAAAGTCCCCAGATGGCAGGATATTTGGTTTCAGAGTAAGGACTAGGTGCACCACCATGACTGACTATCAATCAAAATGTTTGTAACTTAAAATTTTTAATGAAGGATAATGAATATTTGTAGAGTCTCTATGGTTCTGTCAATGCACATCTTCGTGTCTGTTTTCCTCATGTATCCTTGTGAGCCTGGGTGAGTTCTGGGGAGAGACCTGATGTGCGTACTGCCTGTGAAAATCTGACTTTGGCAAATCAAATCCTCTTTTCCTTTTGACATGCCCTCTTTTTTTGTTGTTGCTTTTTTTGAGACAGGGCTCGCTCTGTCACCCAGGCTGGAGTGCAGTTGCACAATCACGGCTCACTGAAGCCTCAACCTCCTGGGCTCAAGTGATCCTCACGTCTCAGCCTCCGGAGTAGTTGGGACTACAGGTCAGTGACACCATGCCTGGTTAATTTTTTTAATTTTTATTTTCAGTAGAGACAAGGTTGCGCTATGTTGCCCAGGCTGGTATGGAACTCCTGTGCTTAAGCAATCCTCATGCCTCAGCTTCCCAAAGTGCTGAGGTTACAGCTATGAGCCACCGCACCCAGCCTACATTCCTTCTTATCACCGAGAAACAGGTTGATCTTCACAGGTGTAATGAGTATGAAGGGAGTGCCATAAGATATTTTTTATTTTTTATTTATTCATTTTTTAATTTAATTTTTTTTTTTTTGAGATGGAGTCTTGCTCTGGCACCCAGGCTAGAGTGCAGTGGTGCGATCTCGGCTCACTGCAACCTCTGCCTCCCAGGTTCAAGCGATTCTTCTGCCTCAGCTTCCCGAATAGCTGGGATTACAGGTGCCCACCACCACACCCGGCTAATTTTTGTATTTTTAGTAGAGACGGAGTTTCACCATGTTGGCCAGGCTGGTCTCAAACTCCTGGCCTCAGGTGATCCACCCGCCTTGGCCTCCCAAAGTGTTGTGATTACAAGCATGAGCCATGGTGCCGGCGGGCTGATTTTTTTAATTTTTAGTAGAGACAAAGTCTCACTATATTGCCTAGGTTGGTCTCAAACTGCTGAGCTCAAGCAATCTGCCGGCCATGTTCTCTCAAAGTGCTGGGATTACAGGCTTGAGCCCCTGCACCCAGCCTGTAAGATATTTTAAAATCCACACTTGGCCAAGCGTGGTGGCTCACACATATAATCCCAGCACTTTGGGAGGCCAAGGTGGGCGGATCACAAGGTCAGGAGTTCGAGACCAGCCTGGCCAATATGGTGAAATCCCATCTCTACTAAAAATACAAAAACTAGCCAGGCGTGTTGGCTTACACTTATAGTCCCAGCTACTCAGGTGGCTGAGGCAGGAGAATCACTTGAACCAGGAGGCGGAGTTTGCAGTGAGCTGAGATCACAGCACTGCACACCAGCCTCGGCAACAGAGTGAGACTCCGTCTGAAAAAAAAAAAATCCACGCTGTTTTATATTTCTAACATGGGGTAGGATACCATCCTCCATGAAATAGGGTGCAAGTGTGTGAAATGCAGATGGGAATCCTGTCCCAGCTAGCCTGACAGAGAAGTGAGCACTTCCTATGGCAAATTATGTAAGAAAATATTCCCCAGGCAGATGCTTATGAAAAGAATCTGTTCAGCCTGCAGGTAAGTGGGAGAGCCCTTGCTCAAAAAAAAAAAGAAAAAGAAATAGTGGAAGACAAAAAGGAAAGGACACTATGAATGTCTGACCCATGAACTACTACCTGTTAGAAACAGAAGTGCTGGGAGGCTTGAGAGACAGACACTACCTTCCTGGCTAGGTGTGGTGGCTCAGATCTGTAATGCTAGCACTTCGGGAGACCAAGGCAGGATGATCAAATTAAAGGGCATCCTGGGCAACATGGCAATACCCCATGTCTAAAAAATTTAAAAATTAGCCAAGCATGGTAACGCACACCTATAGTCCTAGCTACATGGGAGGATGGCTTGATCTCTTTGACCCCAGGAGTTCGAGGCAGTAGTGAGCTATGATTGCACCACTGCACACCAACCTAGGTGACAGAGTGAGACCTCATCTCCAAAAAACCAAACCAAAACAAAAAACCTTCAAGAAAGAAAAAAAGCTTGACCTTCCCTCCCTCACTCTTTACAGACCCATGGAATCTGAAGCTCTGGTGTTGGAGCCACCAGGCATTAACAAGCCTTCTGGGTGATTCGTAATACGTTTAAGTTTGAAAACCAGGGTCAGAACTTTTAAACAAGTGCAAGTGTCCAGCTAAAATGAATTATATGTACGTCAAAGTTGCAGAAATAGTTAAAGAACCTTTTTTTTCCAGCTTTTTTTTTTTCTTTTAATACACAGGGAAGGGTCAGGTGCAGTGGCTCACGCCTGTAATCCCAGCACTTTGGGAGGCCGAGGTGGGCGGATCACAAGGTCAGGGGTTCTAGACCAGCCTGGCCAACATGGTAAAACCCCATCTCTACTAAAAATACAAATATTAGCCATATGTGGTGGCACACGCCTGTAGTCCCAGCTACTCGGGAGCCTGAGGCAGGAGACTCACTTGAACCTGGGAGGCAGAGGTTGCAGTGAGCCGAGATTATGCCACTGCCCTCCAGCCTGGGCGACAGAGCAAGACTTCATCTTAAAAAAAAAAAAAATACACAGGAAAGATTGGGACAAGTGGCAGGAGACTGAAAGGGGAAAGAGCTTGTTTGTACTAATGGGACAAAGTGGGCCGACTCTGGGCACACTGCTTATGAGTTAGCTCTACTCTGTGAGGAAATTTTTTTTTTTTTTTTGAGACGGAGTCTTGCTCTGTTGCCCAGGCTGGAGTGCAGTGGCGCAATCTTGGCTCCCCGCAACCTCTGCCTCGCTGGTTCAAGCAATTCCCCTGCCTCAGCCTCCTAAGTAGCTGGGATTACAGGCGCCTGCCACCACGCTCGGCTAATTTTTTGGTATTTTTAGTAGAGACCCGGTTTCACCATGTTGGCCAGACTGGTCTCGAACTCCTGACCTCAGGCAATACGCCCGCCTCGGCCTCCCAAAGTGCCGGGATTACAGGTGTGAGCCACCCCACCCGGCCAAGGAAATATTTAAAAAATAAAATAAAATAAGTTATTTAAAAATTGGGGCAAGTTGGCTGGGCACGGTGGCTCACGCCTGTAATCCTAGCACTTTGGGAGGCTGAGGAAGGGGGATCACTTGAGGTCAGGAGTTCAAGACCAGTCTGGCCAACATGGTGAAACACTGTCTCTACTAAAAATTCAAAAAATTAGCCAGGCATTGTGGCAGGCACCTACAATCCCAGCTACTCAGGAGACTAAGGCAGGAGAATCGCTTGAACCTGGGAGACGGAGATTGCAGTGAGTTGAAATCATGCCACTGCACTCCAGCCTGGGCTATGGAGCGAGACTCTCCCTCAAAAAAAAAAAAATCGGGGTAAGTGTTATCAATCTAAAAAATAATAATTAAAAAGTTCAGAATCTAGGCCAGGCGCTGTGGCTCACACCTATAATCCCAGCACTTTGGGAGGCAGAGGCAAGCGAATCACCTGAAGTCAGGAGTTCAAGACCATCCTGGTCAACATGACGAAACCCCGTCTCTACCAAAAATACAAAAATTAGCTGGGTGTTGTGGGTCGCGCCTGTAGTCCCAGCTATTCAGGAGACTGAGGAAGGAGAATCGCTTGAACCCGGGAGCGAGAGGTTACAGTGGGCCAAGATCATACCATTGCATTCCAGTCTGGGAGACACAGCGAGACTGTCTTAAACAAACGAACAAAAGCTGAGAATCTAGTGTTGTTGCTTTTTACAGATGGAGTCTTGCCATGTTGCCCAGGTTAGATTCAGACTGAAGTTCAAGGGATCCTCCTGCCTCAGCCTCCTAGAGTAGATAGAGTTGGGACTGCAGGCACATACCACTGTACCAGGCTTAGAATCTAGTTTAAAGAGTTTATCCACCGGCTCTCCCTCCCTCTCCCTCTGTCTCCCTCTCCCCACGGTCTCCCTCTCATGCGGAGCCGAAGCTGGACTGTACTGCTGCCATCTCGGCTCACTGCAACCTCCCTGCCTGATTCTCCTGCCTCAGCCTGCCCAGTGCCTGCCATTGCAGGCACGCGCCGCCATGCCTGACTGGTTTTGGTGGAGACGGGGTTTCGCTGTGTTGGCCGGGCAGGTCTCCAGCCCCTAACCGCGAGTGATCCCGCCAACCTCAGCCTCCCGAGGTGCCGGGATTGCAGACGGAGTCTCGTTCACTCAGTGCTCAATGGTGCCCAGGCTGGAGTGCAGTGGCGTGATCTCGGCTCACTACAACCTACACCTCCCAGCCGCCTGCCTTGGCCTCCCAAAGTGCCGAGATTGCAGCCTCTGCCCGGCCGCCACCCCGTCTGGGAAGTGAGGAGCGTCTCTGCCTGGCCGCCCATCGTCTGGGATGTGAGGAGCCCCTCTGCCTGGCTGCCCAGTCTGGAAAGTGAGGAGCGTCTCCGCCCGGCCGCCATCCCATCTAGGAAGTGAGGAGCGCCTCTTCCCAGCCGCCATCACATCTAGGAAGTGAGGAGCGTCTCTGCCCGGCCGCCCATCGTCTGAGATGTGGGGAGCGCCTCTGCCCCGCCGCCCCATCTGGGATGTGAGGAGTGCCTCTGCCCGGCCGAGACCCCGTCTGGGAGGTGAGGAGCGTCTCTGCCCGGCCGCCCCGTCTGAGAAGTGAGGAGACCCTCTGCCTGGCAACCACCCCGTCTGAGAAGTGAGGAGCCCCTCCGCCCGGCAACTGCCCCGTCTGAGAAGTGAGGAGCCTCTCCGCCCCGCAGCCACCCCATCTGGGAAGTGAGGAGCATCTCCGCCCGGCAGCCACCCCGTCCGGGAGGGAGGTGGGGGGGGTCAACCCCCCGCCCGGCCAGCCGCCCCATCTGGGAGGGAGGTGGGGGGTCAGCCCCCCCGACCGGCCAGCCGTGCCATCCGGGAGGGAGGTGGGGGGGTCAGCCCCCCACCTGGCCAGCCGTGCCGTCCGGGAGGGAGGTGGGGGGGTCAGCCCCCCGCCCGGCCAGCCGCCCCGTCCGGGAGGTGAGGGGTGCCTCTGCCCGGCCACCCCTACTGGGAAGTGAGGAGCCCCTCAGCCCGGCCAGCCACCCCGTCCGGGAGGGAGATGGGGGGGTCAGCCCCCCCACCCGGCCAGCCGCCCGGTCTGGGAGGGAGGTGGGGGGGTCAGCCCCCCGCCTGGCCAGCCGCCCTGTCCGGGAGGGAGGTGGGGGGGTCAGCCCTCCGCCCGGCCAGCCGCCCCGTCTGGGAGGTGAGGGGCGCCTCTGCCCGGCCGCCCCTACTGGGAAGTGAGGAGCCCCTCTGCCCGGCCAGCCGCCCCGTCCGGGAGGGAGGTGGGGGTGTCAGCCCCCCGCCCGGCCAGCCGCCCCGTCCGGGAGGGAGGTGGGGGGGGTCAGCCCCCCCGCCCGGCCAGCCGCCCCGTCCGGGAGGTGAGGGGCGCCTCTGCCCGGCCGCCCCTACTGGGAAGTGAGGAGCCCCTCTGCCCGGCCAGCCGCCCCGTCCGGGAGGGAGGTGGGGGTGTCAGCCCCCCGCCCGGCCAGCCGCCCCGTCCGGGAGGGAGGTGGGGGGGGTCAGCCCCCCCGCCCGGCCAGCCGCCCCGTCCGGGAGGTGAGGGGCGCCTCTGCCCGGCCGCCCCTACTGGGAAGTGAGGAGCCCCTCTGCGCGGCCACCACCCCGTCTGGGAGGTGTGCCCAACAGCTCATTGAGAACGGGCCAGGATGACAATGGCGGCTTTGTGGAATAGAAAGGCAGGAAAGGTGGGGAAAAGATTGAGAAATCGGATGGTTGCCGTGTCTGTGTAGAAAGAAGTAGACATGGGAGACTTTTCATTTTGTTCTGCACTAAGAAAAATTCCTCTGCCTTGGGATCCTGTTGATCTGTGACCTTACCCCCAACCCTGTGCTCTCTGAAACATGTGCTGTGTCCACTCAGGGTTAAATGGATTAAGGGCGGTGCAAGATGTGCTTTGTTAAACAGATGCTTGAAGGCAGGGTGCTCGTTGGGAGTCATCACCAATCCCTAATCTCAAGTAATCAGGGACACAAACACTGCGGAAGGCCGCAGGGTCCTCTGCCTAGGAAAACCAGAGACCTTTGTTCACTTGTTTATCTGCTGACCTTCCCTCCACTATTGTCCCATGACCCTGCCAAATCCCCCTCTGTGAGAAACACCCAAGAATTATCAATAAAAAAATAAATTTAAAAAAAAAAAAAAAAAAAAAAAAAAGAGTTTATCCAACTGCAAATGTTGAGGAAGTGGCCCGTCTAGAGCTGAAGATTCCAAAGAATATTAGTCTATGTTCCAAAAGTGTAGAAGTTTGGAATCGCTTATATAAACAGAAAGTTTATGGAAACTTAGAATTTCAACATTGTTCTGTGTTCACAATTGGTGGGTTCTTGGTCTCATTGATTTAAAGAATGAGGCCGCAGACCCTCACGGGGAGTGTTACAGTTCTTAAATGCGGCGCCTCTGGAGTTGTTTGTTCCTCCCGGGGGGTTCGTGCTCTCGCTAGCGTCAGGAGTGAAACTGCATACCCCTGCGGTGAGTGTTACACCTCATAAAAGTAGTGTGGACCCAAAGAACAAATAGCAATAAAATTTATTGCAAAGACGGAAATAACAAACTTTCCACTCTATGGAAAATGACCAGAGCGGGATGTCACTACTCACTCAGGCAGCCTGCTTTTATTCCCTTATCTGGCCCCACCCACATCCTGCTGATTGGTCCATTTTACAGAGAGCTGATTGGTCCGTTTTACAGAGAGCTGATTGGTCCATTTTGACAGGGTGCTGATTGGTGCGTTTACAATCCCTGAGCTAGACACAAAAGTTCTCCATGTCCTCACTAGATTAGCTAGATACAGTGTCAATTGGTGCATTTACAAACCCTGAGCTAGACACAGGATGCTGATTGGTATATTTACAAACCTTGAGCTAGATACAGAGTGCCGATTGGTGTATTTACAATCCCTTAGCTAGACATAAAGGTTCTCCAAGTCCCCACCACACTCAGGAGCCCAGCTGGCTTCACCCAGTGGATCCCGCACTGGGGCCGCAGGTGGAGCTGCTTGCCAGTCCTGCCCCATGCGCCTGCACTCTTCAGCCCTTGGGAGGTTGATGGGACTGGGGGCCGTGGAGCAGGGGGTGGCGCTCGTCGGGGAGGCTCTGCAGCACAGGAGCCCACGGCGGGGTTGGGGCTCAGGCATGGCGGGCTGCAGGTCCTGAGTCCTGTCCTGTGGTGAGGCAGCTAAGGCCCCGTGAGAAATCGAGCACAGCAAGCTGCTGGCCCAGGTGCTAAACCCCTCACTGCCCTGCCCGGGGCTTGTGGGCCAGCCTGCCGCTCCAAGAGCGGGGCAGCCGAGCCCACGCCCACCCGGAACTTGCGCTGGCCCACAAGCGCTGCGTGCAGCCCCGGTTCCCGCCCGCGCCTCTCCCTCCACACCTCCCCGCAAGCCGAGGGAGCCGGCTCCGGCCTCGGCCAGCCCAGAGAAGGCTCCCACGGTGCAGTGGCGGGCTGAAGGGCTCCTCAAGCGCGGCCAGAATGGGCGCCAAGGCCGAGGAGGCGCCGAGAGCCAGCAAGGGCTGCGAGGGCTGTCAGCACGCTGTCAACTCTCAGTTCTATGGTAAGGCTTATTGCATAGTTACAATGATCTGATTAGTCAATTTTTTTTTTCTTTTTTGGGGGGTGGGGGAAGGTGTTTTTTACATTCCACACTGAAGATGCAATAGTCATGGGGTCTTGGGTGCCATCTGGTCTGAGTCAGGTACAGGACAATAAAGGAGGCAGTTAATCTACAACAAAGATCAGTGATTGGAAAGGAGGTCTCATTACAGAACAAGAGCAATGAGGAGGAGAGTCTGTAAGAAGCAGAATTGCAAACATGCTACATGACTCAGTCTCCAAGGCTTAACTTCCATCTTGGCATAAACTTAGAGTCCTGAAGTTTTGTTTTCTTTTTACGGTGGACTTTGCACATCATTGCCTGGTGAGTGCCCGCTGGATCAGCAGCCAAATTCTAGCATGAAACCCTTTCCCCAACATCCCCTTTCACCTTGCATGGCCCTCCTTCCCTTCACACATTGATCCCCACTCCCAGCCCCTTTGCTTAGGATCAAACCAGCTCAAGCTCTCTCTGTCTTCTCAGCTGTCCCTTAAATAAGGGAAAGAGACAGTAACAATGAACACTGACCTGAACAGCAAATACCAGGGACCAGGGACCATGGATACTTTTTTGCTAATGTAATCCTTCCAACCAAAAGTCATGACAAGGAGGGAATAGGAAAAAGTATTTTTTTTTTTTTTTTGAGACAGGGTCTTACTCTGTCACCCAGGCTGGAGTGCAGTAGCATGATCACAGCTCACTGCAACCTTGACCACCTGGGTTCAAGCAATCTTCCCACCTCAGCCTCCTGAGTAGCTGGGACTACAGGCACTTGCCACCAAGCCCAGCTAATATTTTCATTTTTGTAGAAACAGGGTCCCACTATGTTGCCCAGGCTGGTCTTAAACTCCTGGGCTCAAGTGATCCTTGACCACCCCACCCGCTCGGCCTCCCAAAGTGCTAGAGTTACAGGCCTGCCCACCCATAGCCATCTAATAATTTTTGCCCAAGAAAGGATTGGGAAGGAAGATCAAAGCAATGGCTTGGACATCTTTCCAACAACAACAACAACAACAACAAAACCACAACAGACTCAAATTACCATAGTAGAAGTATAGGTCTTCCTTTTCCTAATACTCTGGGATTTTTTTTTTTTTTTTGAGACAGAGTCTTGCTCTGTTGCCCAGGCAGGCTGGAGTGCAGTGGCGTGATCTCAACTCACTGCAACCTCCGTGTCCCAGGTTCAAGTGATTCTCCTGCCTCAGCCTCCTGAGTATTTGGGATTATAGGTGCCCACCACCACACCTGGCTAATTTTTTGTATTTTTAGTAGAGATGGGTTTTCACCATGTTGACCAGGCTGGTCTCTACTAAAAATACAAAAATTAGCTGGGTGTGGTGGCATGCCCCTGTAGTCTCAGCTACTCGGGAGGCTGAGGCAGAAGAATCGCTTGAACCTGGGAGGCAGAGGTTGCAGTAAGCCGAGATCATGCCACTGCACTCCAGCCTGGTGACACAGTGAGACTCTGTCCCAAAAAAAAAAAAAAAAGAGGCCGGGCGCGGTGGCTCATGTCTGTAATCCCAGCATTTTGGGAGGCCAAGGCAGGCGAATCACCTGAGGTCAGGAGTTCAAGACCAGCCTCACCAACATGGAGAAACCCAGTCTCTACTAAAAATACAAAATTAGGCTGGGCACAGTGGCTCACGCCACCCAGCACTTTGGGGAGGCCAAGGCGGGCGGATCACCTGAGGTCAGGAGTTCAAGACCAGCCTGGCCAACATGGTGAAACCCCCGTCTCTACTAAAAATACAAAAATTAGCCAGGCGTGGTAGTGCATGCCTGTAATGCCAGCTACTGAGGAGGCTGAGGCAGGAGAATCGCTTGAACCCGAGAGGGGAAGGCTGAAGTGAGCCGAGATCACGCCACTGCACTCCAGCCTCGGCAACAAGAGCGAGACTCTGTCTCAAAAAAAAAAAAAAAAAAAAAAAGCTGGCCAGAGGCGGTAATTACATGCCTGTAATCCCAGTCCCAGTACTTTGGAAGGCCAAGACGGGCAGATCATTTGAGCCCAGGAGTTTGAGACCAGCCTGGGCAACATGGCAAGACCTCATCTCTACAAAAAATTTAAAAATTAGCTGGGGCAGTGGCCCACACCTGTAGTTTCAGCTACATGGGAAGCTGAGGTGAGAGGGTCACTTGAGCCCAGGAGGTAGAGGCTGTAGTGCACCAAGACCGCACCACTGCCCTCAAACCTGGGCGACAGGGCAAGAAACTTGTCTCAAAAACAAACAAATAAGAAACCCACAGCACATTAGGTCAAATACTTTTATAAAAAATTTTTTTAGGCCGGGCACGGTGGCTCATGCCTGTAATCCCAGCACTTTGGGAGGCCAAGGCGGGCGGATCACAAGGTCAGGAGATCCAGACCTCCTGGCTAACACGGTGAAACACTGTCTCTACTAAAAATACAAAATATTAGCCGGGCGTGGTGGCGGGAGCCTGTAGTCCCAGCTACTTGGGAAGCTGAAGCAGGAGAATGGAGTGAACCTGGAAGGCAGAGCTTGCAGTGAGCTGAGATGGTGCCACTGCACTCCAGCCTGGGAAACAGAGCAAGACTCTGTCTGAAGAAAAAAAAAATTAGAGTGAAAAAATAAAAAGGTTGATGAGTCTGTGTTTCACGAAAAACTCTCCAAACTCCCAAACTGTTTTAAACTTTTTCCTCCTCTACTCTCTCACTCTCTCCCCCCAGCCACACTCACACACACACTTTTTTTTTTTTTTTTTTTTGAGACAGAGTCTCGCTCTGTCACCCAGGCTAGAGTGCAGTGGCATGATCTCGGCTCACTGCAACCTCCGACTCCCAGATTCAAGTAATTCTCCTGCCTCAGATTCTCAAGAGTAGCTGGGATTACAGGTGTTCACCACCACACCCGGCTAATTTTTGTATTTTTAGTAGCGATGGGGTTTCTCCATGTTGGCCAGGCTGGTCTCAAACTCCTGACCTCAGGTGATCCACCTGCCTCCGCCTCCCAAAGTGCTGGGATTACAGCCGTGAGCCACTGTGCTCAACAACACACTTCTTTTAAAGACAGGGTCTCACTCTGTCACCCAGCCTGGAGTGCAGTACTGCAATCATAGCTCACTTCAGCCTTGACCTCCCAGGCTCAAGCAATCCTCCCACCTCAGCCCCATGAGTGGTTGGAACCACAGGTGTGTGCCACCACACCTGCTAATTTTTGTATTTTTTGAAGACACGAGGTCTCGACATGTTGCCCAGGCTGGTCTTGAACTCCTGGGCTCAAGCAATCCACCAACCTCGGCCTTCCAAAGTGCTGGGACTACAGGTGTGAGCCATGGTAACTGGCCTGAATATTAAGTGCTATTAGGGAATTAAATTTGCTTTTCTCAGGTATAATAGTATTGTGAATATGCAGATGAACATCCTTATTTTTTGGAGATGCATACTCAAATACAAAGGGATAAAATGTCATAATCTCTTTAATATACTTTGAAATGATCCTACCAAATATAAGTACATACAGATGCTAATATCATTGTTTTTGCCAATTTTCTTTTTTCTTCCTTTTAGATACAGGGTCTTGGTCTGTCGCACAGGCCGGAGAGCAGTGAGTGGAACAATCATGGCTCTGTAGCCTCGACCTTCTGGGCTCAAGTGATCCTTCCATCTCAGCCTCCCAAGTAGCTGGGACTACAGGTGCTTGGGAGTACACCTAATTTTTTAATTTTGTAGAGAAGTGGTCTCCGCCCAGGCTGGCCTCAAACTCCTGCACTCCAGCAATCCTCCTGCCTTGACCTCCCAAAGTACTGGGATTACAGACATTAGCCACCACGCCCAACCAAAACTTTTAAAAGTTTTTTTTTTGTTTTATAACAGTTCCTCTGCCTCTTTTAGAGGCAATCAACCCAGTGTGGAGCACAGGTATTCCCTGGGTGGCACTAGGAGATGGGACTTGCTCCCTGTTTCAAGGTGGTACCAGCTAATGCTGCAAGGCCCTTTGAAGAAGGCTCCCCCTTCCCAGTTTATTATCTGCCATCAGTAAATAACTGGGGATTATCAGCTGACACCTTTATCTTCACTACATTCTTTAGAATTTAAGACAGGCAACAGCCAGCCTAGAATGTGACCCACTTCCACCTGAGGTTCACCTGACTGGAGGCAATAAAGTTTAACATTTCAAGAGTCAGCAGGTACTTTAACCCTTAGGATAATTTGTTTCTTTATATAGTCTTTGGAAAATAACACAAGAATTAAAAAAAAAAAAAAAAAAAACAGCCAGGCTTGGTGGCTCAGGAGGCAGAGGCTGCAGTGAGCCAAGATGGCTCCAGTGCACTACAGCCTGGACAACACAGTGAGACCCTGTCCACCCCACTCCCCCCCAAAAAAAGTCATGGGAAAGTAGAATGCTAATGAAAAGAAAGTACTACAATCAACAAACTAACAGATGGGCCTGAGATGCTAAAAACCAGGTACCCCTGTACGCCATTGGGCAGCAGAGCTCATGATGGCTCTGTGGCTGTTCTGGCTGCAGGTAACAAATCCATGTAACAAACAAAGTAGGCTGGGTGCAGTGGCTCACGCCTGTAATCCCAGCACTTTGGGAGGGCGAGGCAGGTGAATCACAAGGTCAGGAGTTCAAGACCAACCTGACCAACACGGTGAAACCTTGTCTCTACTAAAAATACAAAAATTATCCAGACGTGGTGGCACCACCTGTAATCCCAGCTACTCAGGAGGCTGAGTCAGGAGCATCGCTTGAACCTGGGAGGCGTAGGTTGCAGTGAGCTGAGATCATGCCACTGCACTCCAGCCTGGGCAACAGAGCAAGACTCCCATCTCAAAAACAAAAACAAAGCAGCTCTGGAGTTGGAGTATCTCATTCCATCCTTCATGTTTCAAAACTTCCTTTTCATATCACCTCTGATTTCTCTGCTCCACATTATGGATTATTTCTCCCTCCAACTCACTAATTCTTCATTTAGTTGGTCTGCTGTTTATCTTGTTTATTGTGTATCTTTGTTGTTTTTTTTGGTTTTTATTTTTAGAGATGGTGTCTTGCAATATTACCCAGGCTGGTCTCGAACTCCTGGGCTCAGGTGATCCTCCCACCTTGGCCTCCCAAAGTGCTGGGATTACAGGCATGAGTCACCATACCCAGCCCCCAAGCTATGTTTTTAAGATACTAAGAAATATTTCAGACATGCAAAAATAAGAAATGAGAGGCCAGGCACATTACATATGCTTACATACTACCAGTATGTAAACATATATTAATGTTACATACAACTAATATGTAAACATTACGTACCACTAGTTGTTGGTTTTGTTTTTTTTGAGACAGAGTCTCATGCTTTTGCCCAGGCTGGAGTGCAGGGGTTCAATCTTGGCTCACTGCAACCTCCACCTCCTGGGTTCAAGCAATTCTCATGCCTCAGCCATCAGAGTATCTGGGATTACAGGTGTGCACCACCACACTTGGCTAATTTTTGTATTTTTAGTAGAGACAGGGTTTCGCCATGTTGACCAGGTTGGTCTCAAACTCCTGGCCTCAAGTGATCCACCTGCTTCGGCCTCCCAAAGCGCTGGAATTACAGGCATGAGACACTGCACCCAGCCCCAAAAGTTTTTAAGGTTATTTCTGGGCTCTAGAATTTCCTCACAACCCAAAAGATGCAAATTTCATCCATGAGTTCTGTTGGTGCAGGTTTGGGTGTACCCCACAAAGCCTGCGGCTGTGACTCTGGCCAATGGGTAGAAATTTTACTCCTCGAACACTGACAAAAGAGCTCCAAGCAGCTCCTGGGTTTCTGTAGCATGGCTGAAGCAGAGTGGAAATGGGGTTTCACCATGTTGGCCAGGCTGGTCCCCAACCCCTGACCTCAGGTGTAGAAGATGAGGTCAGAAAGTTGACAGAGCTAGACTGGGAGGACCTTGTTGGGTGGCCCTTGTAAGATGGAGACTTTTACTCTGAGTGAAATGGCAGCTGTTACAGGATCTTCAGAAGAGGGGAGACATGACCTGACTCCTGATTTGGAAGGAACCTTCTGGCTGCTGTGTGGAGAGAGCCTGTAACGGGCAAAAGTGGAAGCCAGGAGACCAGGTAGGAGACAGTTGCAGTTGTCTAGGTGAGAGCCAATGGTGGCTCCCACCAGGATGGAGCAGCAGTAAAGGTGTGAGACACAGATCCTCGTGTCATTTCTAAGATACAGACAGTATGATTTGCTGACAAATTAGATGTAGCATGTGAGAACAGGAGAGCAGTCAGGCAGATTCCAAGGGTCTAGCCTAAGCAACTGGCAGGTAGAGGTGTCACCTGGAGGGCCAGCACACTGGCCAGTGGGTAAGGATTCCAAGGATTCTTGTCTCCCATTTCTGTGGGGAGACAGGCTGAGGCCAAGCCTTAGGAGGCTCACTGCCTACAGTAGCTGAAGTAGCAGGCTAGCCGCTATTAGAGTAACTGCAAGCTGGGGAGTTCAGCCTGGGAGGATGGGAAGGAGGACTGTTTATTACTGAAGTTGCTCCACTCCTGGTATGGAAATGGGGCCTAAAGAAATGAGGAAAATAGGCCGGCGGTGGCTCACGCCTGTAATCCCAGCACTTTGGGAGGCCAAGGCGGGTGGATCACGAGGTCAGGAGATCGAGACCATCCTGGCTAACACGGTGAAACCCCGTCTCTACTAAATATACAAAAAATTAGCCGGGTGTAGTGGTGGACGCCTGTATTCCCAGCTAATCGGGAGGCTGAGGCAGGAGAATGGCGTGAACCCGGGAGGCGGAGCTTGCAGTGAGCCGAGATCGCGCCACTGCACTCCAGCCTGGGCGACAGAGCGAGACTCCGTCTCAAAAAAAAAAAAAAAAGAAATGAGGAAAATAGCATTTTGGGGTTGAGGTCTTTCAGCATCACCACTGTGTGAGAAAAGTTCACGTGACCATCTTACCATGGCTGTAGCTCAGTCTTATACCCCAAACCTGGGATTAGCACCCACCACACAGGGGAGGACTTGAACCATACAAAGGGCAGGGGAATGCAGAAGAGACCCTTGGGGACAAGAAATGAAACCAACAAAGCTGAGTATGGTGGCATATGCCTGTTGCCCCAGCTACTGAGGAAGCTGAGGCGGGAGGATCACTTCAGCCCAGGAGTTCAAGTCAGACCTGGGCAACAGAGCATGACTCTACCTCTTCATTTATTTATTTAGAGATAAGGCTCACTCTGTTGCCCAGATTGGAGTGCAGTGGCACAATCATGGCTCACTGCAGCCTCAACTTCCAGGGCTCAAGCAATTCTCCCATCTCAGCCTCCCAAGTAGCTGAACCACGGCATGCCATCACAACCGGCTAATTTTTAAAATTTTTTGTAGGAACTGGATTTCACCGTGTTGCCCAGGCAGACTGGTCTCAAACTCCTGGGTTCAAGAGATCTGCCCACCATGGCCTCCCACAGTGCTGGGGTTGCAGGTGTGAGCCACCGCACTATGCTTCTTTTTTGTTAGAGACGGGATAGGCCGGGCTTGGTGGCTCAAGCTTGTAATCTCAGCATTTGGGGAGGCCAAAGCAGGTAGATCATTTGATTTCAGGAGTTAGACACCAGTCAGGCAATATAGTGAAACCTTCACTGTATAAAAAATTTAAAAATTAGCTGGGCATGGCTGGGCGCGGTGGCTCACCTGTAATCCCAGCACTTTGGGAGGCCGAGGCAGGTAGATCATGAGGTCAGGAGATCGAGACCATCCTGGCTAACACGGTGAAACCTCGTCTCTACCTAAAATACAAAAAAATTAGCCAGGCGTGGTGGCTAGCACCTGTAGTTCCTGCTACTCGGGAGGCTGAGGCAGGAGAATGGCGTGAACCTGAGAGGCAGAGCTTGCAGTGAGCCAAGATCGCGCCACTGCACTCCAGCCTGGGTGACAGAGCAAGACTCCGTCTCAAAAAAAAAAAAAAAAGGTCAGGTACGGTAGCTCACGCCTGTAATCCCAGCACTTTGGGAGGCCAAGGCAGGTGGATCACGAGGTCAGGAGATCGAAACCATCCTGGCTAACACGGTGAAACCCCATCTTTACTAAAAATACAAAAAATTAGCTGGCTGTGGTGGTGGGTGCCTGTAGTCCCAGCTAGTCGGGAGGCTGAGGCAGGAGAATGGTGTGAACCCAGGAGGTGGAGCTTGCAGTGAGCCGAGATTGCACCACTGCACTCCAACTTGGGCGACAAAGCAAGATTCTCTTTCAAAAAGAAAAAAAAATTAGCTGGGCATGATGGAGCACCTGTAGTTCCAGCTACTTCAGAGGCTGAGGTGGGAGGATCACTTGAGCCCAGGAGGTCAAGGCTGTAGTGAGCTGTAATCTTGCCACTGTACTCGAGCCTGGGCAACAGTGACACCCTGTCTCAAAAAAAAGAGAGGGTAGGCCCGGTGCAGTGGCTCACACCTGTAATCCCAACACTTTGGGAGGTGGGTGAATCACCTGGAGTCAGGAGTTTGAGACCAGCCTGGCCAACATGGTGAAACCCTATCTCTACTACTGAAGAAAAAAAAAAAAAAGAGGGTGGGTAGGAACTCTGTTATCTATTTACAAACAAGGAAATTGTTATGGGAATCACTGAGGAACTTAGCCAAAGTTAACCTAGCAGTAAGTGTTCAGTCTGGCTCCTGAATCTTTTTGAAACAGTCTCACTCTGTCACCCAGGCTGGAGTGCAGTGGTGCCATCTTGGTTCACTGCAACCTCCACCTCTCAGGTTCAAGCGATTCTCATGCCTCAGCCTCCCAAGTAGCTGGGCTTACAGGCGCATGCCACCATGCTCGGTTAACTGTATGTATGTATGTATGTATTTTGAGATGTAGTTTCATTCTTGTTGCCCAGGCTAGAGCATAATGGCATGATCTCAGCTCACTGCAACCTCCGCCTGCCAGGTTCAAGTGATTCTCCTGCGTCAGCCTCCCGAGTCGCTGGGATTACAGGCGTGTGCCACCACACCTGGCTAATTTATTTTTGTATTTTTAGTAGAGACAGGGTTTTGCCATGTTGGCCAGGCTGGTCTCGAACTCCTGACCTTAGGTGATCCACCTGCCTCGGCCTCCCAAAGTGCTGGGATTACAGGCGTGAGCCACCATGCCTGGCCCTAATTGAGATGGAGTCTCACTCTGTCGCGCAGGCTGGAGTGCAGTGGCGGGATCTTGACTCACTGCAAGCTCCACCTCCCGGGTTCACGCCATTCTCCTGCCTCAGCCTCCCGAGGAGCTGGGACTACAGGCGCCCGCCACCACGCCCGGCTGATTTTTGTATTTTTAGTAGAGACGGGGTTTCACCGTGTTAGACA
Organism: Homo sapiens; assembly: GCF_000001405.40. Taxonomy (NCBI): domain Eukaryota; kingdom Metazoa; phylum Chordata; class Mammalia; order Primates; family Hominidae; genus Homo; species Homo sapiens. Next base: position 3,184,447 of record NT_167247.2, on the reverse strand, counting down.
GGATGGTCTTGATCTCCTGACCTCGTGATCTGCCCGCCTCGGCCTCCTAAAGTGCTGGGATTACAGGCGTGAGCCTGGCCCTTTTTTATATTTTTTTTAGTAGAGATGGGGTTTCACCATGTTGGCCAGGCTGGTCCCTAACCCCTGACCTCAGGTGATCTGTCCGCCTCAGCTGCGATTACGGGCATGAGCCACCATGCCAGGCCCTGAAGTTTTTTATGTCCACAAATGTGTATGGAAGGGTGGACTCCAAATGAACTACAGGAAAATACATGAACAACAACAAAAGTTGCAGGCCAGGTGTGGTGGCTCTGGCCTAGAATCACAGCACTTTCACTTTCAGAGGCTGAGGCTGGCGGATCACCTAAGTTCGGGAGACCAGCCCGACCAACATGGAGAAACCCCATCTCTAATAAAAATACAAAATTAGCCGGGCGTGGTGGCATATAATCCCAGCTACTTGGCAGGCTAAGGCAGGAGAATCGCTTGAACCCAGGAGGCAGAGGTTGTGGTGAGCCAAGATAGTGCCACTGCACTCCAGCCTGGGGAACAAGAGCAAAACTATGTCTCAAAAAACAAAAAAGGCTGGGCGCGATGGCTCACGCCTGTAATCCCTGCACTTTGGGAGGCCAAGGCGGGCGGATCACGAGGTCAGGAGATCCAAGACCATCCTGGCTAACACAATGAAACCCGTCTCTACTAAAAATACAAAAAAATTAGCCGGGCACCTGTAGTCCCAGCTACTCCGGAGGCTGAGGCAGGAGAATGGCTTGAACCTGGGAGGCAGAGCTTGCAGTGAGCCGAGATCGCGCCACTACATGCTGCCTGGGCGACAGAGCGAGACTCCATCTCAAAGATAAATGAAATAAGTAAATGTCAGGCGTGGTGGCTCACGCCTGTAATCCCAGCATTTCAGGAGGCCGAGGCGGGCGGACGGTGAGGCTAGGAGTTGGAGACCACCCTGGCCAATGTGGTGAAACCCCGTCTCTAGTAAAAATACAAAAATTAGCTGGGCATAGTGGTGCGCGCCTGTGGTCCCAGCTACTCGGGAGGCTGAGGGAGGAGAAATCGCTTGAACCTGGGAGGTGGAGGTTGCAGTGAGCTATCGCGCCACTGCACTCCAGCCTGGCGACAGAGCAAGACTCTGTCCCCCCCGCCCCCCAGAAAAGCAGAAAGTTGCAGTAGAACACATGAAGATTTATTCTTTTTGAAAAATGAAAAATGGGCCAGCATGGTGGCTGTTTGTAATGCCAGCACTTTGGGAGTCCAAGGTGGGCAAATCACAAGGTCGGGAGTTCGAGACCAGCCTGGCC